>NW_003871060.2:0-173151 GCF_000001405.40 Homo sapiens
GAATTCAGTGTGCAAAGATGCTATTAGGTGGAGAGGAAATGGGGAAGGGAGCCAGGGAAGGATGGGAGAACCGCTGGACTGCAGTGCAAGTTAAACCCCAGCTGAAAGGGAGTGAGAAGGAGCATCCTGAACTACCATGTGGTCCAAGGAAGGCCTGACAATGTTGCTGGGAAGTCCTCAAGCCAAAATGGGTCTTGAGGGGGTTCCAGGTCTTCCAGGAATGGGCCTGCCTTCCTATTTCTGACACACACAGTCACTGGCTGGGAGCAGCACATGGAAAGCATCATCTCAGCACAAAAACAGGCAATGAATTTCAGCAGCTGGGGAGGGAGGTCCATGAAACTCTCGGTAGCTGCAGTTCCCTCAGGCACATTCTCATGGCCACCTCAAGGAGACCTGAGTGATGCATTTACATAGCCTCCAACACCACCACGCAGAGAGAAAGCTAGCCTGCCACGAGAATGACATCAACATACTGAGCAAGAGGATAGAGAGAGAATCCGGCACCAAGCCCTGAATACCACTTCTTCCTGAAATCCAGTTCTGCCTGCCTGTTGCATTGTTTAGCTGTTCATATTTTCCTTGCTGAGCCGATAAATTCCTCTTTTCGCTCACACTAATTAAAGTTGGGTCTCTGTCATTTGCCATCAAAAGAATCCTGATAAATATAGACCTAAAGGAAACAAATTTGAATTGTGAAATTTTAGCATTGTGACCAGCCATTAGGGGAAATATTTTTGGTTACGGAATTCAAATCATGTCCACTAACAGGACCTAGGTACTAGGAATACACAGACAAATGAGACTGATGTAGGTGTTCCCTACAACAATTATCAACTGAGGCCACGCACAGTGGCTCATGCCTATAACCCTAACACTTTGGGAGGCTGAGGTGGAAGGATCACTTGAAGTTAGGAGTGCGAGACCAGCCTGAACAACAAAGCAAGACCCCGCCTCTCCAAAATATTTAAAAATTAGCTAGGCATGGTGGTGCATACCTGTAGTCCCAGCTACTTGGGAGGCTGAGGCTGGAGGATTGCTTAAGCCCAGGAGTTTGAAGCTGCAGTGAGTTATGATTGTGCCACTGCACTCCAGCCTGGGTGACACAGTAAGACTCCAACTCAAAACAAAAACAAAAACAAAACCCAATTGTCAATTTAAATTGAATGTGATAGATAAATGGCTGCTTCTTTACTAAACTTTGAATTATTTGAGTCGGAACCATGTATTGTATCTCTCATATCTCCAGCATGTATAGTGACCCCTAGCACATAAGTCTCAATAAATAGTTATTGGATAAATGAGAGGGAGTCTCTGCCCTCAATGAGCTCCCATACATTTTTTTTATATGTCTGTTTCCACTGCTAGAAGTGGAAACAGACATATAAAAATACACGCCTGTAATCCTAATGCTTTAGGGGGCCAAGGAGGGAGGATCATTTGAGACCAGCCTGAGCAACATAGTGAGATCCCATCTCTACAAAATTAAATTTAAAAAAAAAACAGTTAGCCAGGTGTAGTGGTTGGTGCATGCCTGTGATTCCAGCTACTCAGGAGGCTGAGATGGGAGGATCCCTTGAGCCCAGGAGATTGATGCTGCAGTGAGTCATGATCGCACTACTGCACTCCAGCCTGGGTGACAGAGTGAGAGAGACCCTGTCTCCAAAAAAAAGAAAAGGAAGAAAAATTAAAAATTAAAACCCCACTACAGTAAGTGCCATAATAGAATTTTATGCAAGATGCTATGGAATTGAAGAACAAGGATTATTTAATTCTTCCTTGAGGGATCAGAAAATATTTTACCATCAAACTGGACTATAAGTAATAAATAAGACTACAGCAATGAGAGAAGGCAAAAATGCCTTTCTAAGCAGCAGAAAGCATCTAAAAAGACATAATGGCATAAAAGTATGAGAAAGTTTTAGAAACAGCAAAGAGAATTTGTCTAGACCACAAGCTCCTGTGTCATATAAACTAAGTCTTATTCGTTAGTGGGTTTCCAATACTTAGGAAGGCCCTGGAACACAGTAGGTGCTCAATACATTTTAAGAATAGTATTTCAAAGTAGCTGAAGCATGGTGGTGTGTGAAGACAGATGGAGGGAGGCAAGGCAACAAACAAGTGGGAACCAGGTGGTGATAAATATTGATAAAAGAATAATAAATAGTATCAACAATAGCAAACATTAATCACGTGCTTGATGTATACCAGGTCCTGTCCTGAAAACTTCCCATGCATCATCTCATTTAATCCTTCAATGATCGTATGAAATAGGCACTATTATAGTCCCTTTTCTACAGCTAGAAAATGCAGATGCTCAGCTAGGGGAGTGGCTTCACCAAAGTCAAAGAAGGTTAGGACAGAACTGGGATTCAAATCTGGGCCTGGCTAATTCCACAGCCAGGGTGCTTCTGAGGCAATGGGGAGCCATTTAAGATCTGTGTGACACTCTCAGGTGACACTGCACCTACCACCCCTTTCTCCATCTCTCTGCTATGCAGTCTCAGAAGTGAGCTCAGGTATGGCCAGAGCAACATGACAACATTGGATGGGAGAGGCCAAGTCCATCAGGAATGAGACGGGGGTAGATGCCAGGAAATGGTCTTCTAAGCCACTCTCACACCCACATATTGAGGACTTGTTCTGCACCCAGCCCTGTGTTCAGCATTTCCTTTGGATTCTTCTTATCCATTCTTCCTGTATGCAATCCCACCAGACACATGGGGATTCTGAAGCTCAGAGAAGCGTAGGGTCTTGCTTAAGGCCATTTAGCTAGTTAGTAGCAAAGCAAGAAATCTAACCCAGGTGTTTCTTTTCTTTTCTTTATTTCTTTTTCTTTTTTTTTTTTTTTACATGTTCCCTTTATTACTGACCATTTCTATATGTTCATCCATGCTGGGTGGATGAACTTCTCAAGCCTGAATTCCACTTTAGAAATTCTGATTCCTATTTCTGACTCTATAGGACACAGGTCCCTGAAGGTCCCATTGACTCCAAGTTGACATTTCTTCACAGTCCTGCCTCTGCTGCATCACCTTTCCTAGCTTATTCACACAGAGCAGGTCTGAAATGATGGATTCTGTGATCCCTTTAAGATGCACCTAACTCCTATGTTTCAGTTTCTCAGGCCCAGGAAGAAAGCATTTGATATATGCACCTGCCCGGGTGTTTTTGACTCTTAAACCCATTTTCTTCTCATAGCAGAAGACTGCATTTTTCTAGTTTTTATTTTAATCAACTTATTCTTCTAGCCCATCATGGTCATAAAATGAGAAGGGGCTGTCTCCAAAGTTTGAGGGATTGTGTCAAACCCTAGGTTTTACCAACCACACAAATGCCTGCTAGTGGTCAGGGCCCTTCCCGTTTTCTCAGGTTTTTCTCTATGATCGCCTGAGTAAATAGGTCTGTTGCTGCTTCCCAAGCCCAGCTGCAATCTAAGTAAGTTGCTTTAAGAAGGATTTCATCCATAGGATTAATTGGGGAAATTCCCAAACATTAACCTCTTTGACTAGTTTTCACAGAGGAGGAATTGCCCTCTTCCCAATCTATGTCATCAGTGAAAAAGCACTCGTTCATCTCTGTTTTAAAACCTGAAGTTCTGTTTAAATGTGTTCTTTAAAGTTATCCTCTGATAAGCTTGGATCTATAAATGAAGCTCTCTGGCTGAAAAAAAATTGGTAACAACTTCTAAGCTAGCTGTCAGAAAATGTGGTAATTGGAGGAAAAATGAGTTTGAGGCATTGGTGCAATCACACCATTATGTAAACTGTTTCTTTCTCCTTCTGCTTCATCCAGAAGTGGGAAAGGACCCTTTAAGGAGAAGGAGTGTGGCAGAGACCTCTCTTGCCAAACAAGAATGCTAAGAAGGACAACTGAGTCGGCTCACTAATGACCATCCTGTAATGACTAACAAGAGAAGATATGAATCAGAGAAGCCACTGGAGGTTGAGATGTCTCTGGAAAGACATTTAATGTCAACTGGTTTGAAGCATGTCCAGCACAGATAAGCTCTAGGATGATTTAATGTTAGAACAGACTCAGAGCATTTCAAAAATATCATCTGCCCAGCAACCAAGTCGATTCTTAGTTCTGGCTCTTCCTGTCTTGCCCATCTGATAGCAGTTTATGTTAAAAGCTAAGGCTCAGTGGGGGGAAAGGTGACTTGCTTGAGGTCACAGAACAAGGAGGTGACAGATTCAGGGCTTATTCTCCAAGCTGTTTGTAGCTGTTCTCCAAATCTATATTGTATTTGTAGATGATCTGAAGGAGAAAAATCAGGCCTACTTGATGTCATCTTTTACTCAATTCAAAACAAAAGTTTGTCATTAACCCTAAGAGTCTCCCTTAGTCTAAATCAGTTCCTCAGCAAAGTAGTTAAAGAGATGATTTATCATTGAGGTCCTTAGATTCCACCCTGCCCCCGCCCCCGCTTTTTTGTTTTACCTTTTTCCTCTTCCTCTTGCCCTAAGACTCATCTCAACCTGCTTCTGTTCTCTGGCCTCATTCCCTCTCTCCAATTAAAACCTATTTTCAGAAAAGGTTGCTTATATCCACATTGAAATGCTTGAGCAACTGCATTTTAACAAAGAGATATGAATGGCCTAAGTTAGAGGAATTAATATTTAATGGTAGAACTTTAGAAACTATCTAATGTTGAAAAGGATATCTTAATAAAACAGTCTTCCCAGGGCACCCAAATTCATTCCAACAAGGAACCATCTATATATATTACAAATTAGATCAATTTAACCAACTTTATAGATTTGGGCCAGTTTCAGTAAGAGGCAGTACAGTGCATCAGAAACCACACTGGCCCAGGAATCATCTGAACTTTGTTTTTCTCATGCGTAAGTATTGGAGGTTGTACCTTATGGTCTCACACTTAACATTGGTAGAATTCAGTGGTGGATTTTTGCGGGTGATGACCTGCAAGCAATCAGACCTGGACTGGGATGCCTTTTCTGTCACTCATTTGCCCTTGACAGAGAACTTGGCGAGTTACTGACCCTCACAAGCCTTATCTTCCTCATCTGTATAATGGGGATTAAAAGTGCCTACCTTGGAGTGTTGTGAGAAATTCAACAAGATGTATGTTGCATGAAAGGGCTTAATAAGTATTAGTCATAATCATCACCTTCAGTTAAAAGGTGATCAGCTCTTCCTCAAGCTGCAGCCTGTCATCTGTTGGGTGAAAATTGTTTCAATAAAGTGGGGGAATGAAACTTTCGTTAGTGTTACTGATTCTCTAACCTAACTTCAGAGAGAAATTTATGTCCAAAACAATAGGAAGTCTATTATGAAGAAGCAAAATGATTTCTTTCTTAAACAAATGGAGCTTTAATATTCTAATTTTCACCCTAGCATTTATGAGTCACTGAAATTAATTGGGTTCAGTATTGAAAGAAACATATTATCCTGCTGTAGTTTTCATAATCAGCTCCCTGGAAAGTATTTTTAAAGAGAAATCAGTATGTCACACCTGGTCAGCATTATAACATGATTAGTTCTGAAATTAAAGAGAAAAAATATCACATTTTACTAAGCCTTCTTGGTAATAAAGTTGGATTCTAGCCATGCAATAGTTAGTGGCAATTCCAGTCCCCCTCACAGTTGGTGTGAAGTACATCCAAGAAACTATATAAAAATGGTGTGTTTTGTTCACCAAAAGTTAAAATGTTTATCATATTTTGAAACATCCCTTTACTCACCTGAGCTCCTTGCAGTGTCATTGATTTCTTTTGCATCTCCTTTCTTTAGTGTACAAGTAAATGCCGATTCTTTATCAGAAATATAGATCAGCAAAAAGAAAAAAATATCCCCCAAACTCTGCCATCTACTTACCCAAAAAACCAGATGCCTAGAAGGCATCCTTGACTTCTCGCAAATCAGATCACATTGGAACAATCACCTAAGTCTTGTTGATTCCACTTCCTTAGTAACACTGGAATCTGAAATCTCTCCATCCCATGGCCCCCTAACCTAAGTCAAGCCCTTCTCCTGTCTCACCTAGATCCTTGCTCCTTAAAATGTGATCCATGGGCCAGCAGCATTGACATTAACTGATAACTTGTTAGAAATGCAAAGTTGCAGGCTCTTTCCCAGACATACTGAATCAGAATTTATGTTTTATCAAGTTTTCTGGGGGCGATTCATATGCACCTTAAAATTGGAAATATGCTGCCTTAAACCAGGTCGGGGTGGGGACCCACACTGTGCAGTTCTAACAAGCTCCCAGGTGATGACCAATGCGGCTCTCCTCATTTATTTTCCTCCTTACAGCCTGGCCTTCTTCCAATCCAATCAATAGTTTGCCAACAAAAGAATCTTTCTAAAGTGTATTTGACAACATTACTTTCCAGCTTAAAACTCTTCAGCAGTCCCTGGAGTGGACATTTGTTTCACTAGTAGTAATAATGGTAGTTTTTGTTTTTGTTGCTGTTGATTTGAGTTTTCCTTGCTTTGGAGTGGTGGTTTGGTTGACATCCTTCCAAGTTCAGGAAATGCCTCACTGTCCGACTCTTGATGGAAGGCAAAGGTGGCCTCCTCCAACACAGGAGCTGAAAAGCCCAGAGATGCTCTCTTTGTCAGACCCTCTGGCAATCAGAGCCTGAATACTTGCCCTTGGTTTGGCCAAGCTGCTGCATCCTCTTGGGATTTTGAATCTGGAGTTGATGATGAAAAGAAACAAACACAGAGGAGCAGTCCAACACCCAAATTGGGTGTTGACCCAATTTCTAGGCGTGGAAGTGACAGAGGTATGCAGTGTGTAGGCCATCTAAACCAGAATATCCAGTGTGCAGCAGTGAGAGTGGCAGTATCCTCGACAGTCTAGTTCTGAGGTTGGTTTTTACCTGTGGTTCTGGCTGTTCACCTTCCCTTTCTTCCTGCCCATTTTCTAACCCTGGTTCCCTACTCTTGGTGGCAACTCAGTGAGCTACCCAATGTACTTATGTACTTTCTTTTTAGTTGTTTTGAGACAGAGTCTTGCTCTGTTGGCCAGACTGGAGTGCAGTGGCACAAGCTCAGCTCACTGCAGCCTCTACCTCCCAGGTTTCAAGCAATTCTCCTGCCTCAGCCTCCCAAGTAGCTGGGATTACAGGTGCCCACCACCATGCCTGGCTGATTTCTGTATTTTTAGTAGAGATGGGGTTTCACCATGTTGGCCAGGCTTGTGTCGAACTCCTGACCTCAAGTGATCTGCCCGCCTCGCCCTCCTCCCAAAGTGCTGGGATTCAAATGTACTTTCAATTAATTCCCTTCTTGCTTATGTAATCCAGAGTTGGTTTCTGTTGCTTGCAACTAAGATCCCTGATTGGTAAAGCTAGCTATCCATGAAAATCAAGTTGAAACTCCTTAAATTGGCTTTTGAAGCCCTTCTTTATTTTATTTTATTTTACTTTATTTTATTTATTTTTTTCAAGACCGAGTCTAGCTCTGTCTCCCAGGCTGGAGTGCAGTGGCGCGATCTCAGCTCACTGCAACCTCCACCTCCCGGGTTCAAGCAATTCTCCTGCCTCAGCCTCCTGAGTAGCTGGGATTACAGGCACCCACCGCCATGCCCAGCTAATTTTTGTATTTTTAGTAGAGACAGGTTTCACTGTGTTGGCCAGGCTAGTCTTGAACTCCTGACCTTGGCCTCCCAAAGTGCTGGGATTACAAGCGTGAGCCACTGCACCCGGCCCCTTCTTTATTTTTATGTTAGTTAAGGTTATAGTATCTGCTGAAATATATCAACTCTCACATCTCAGAAGCTTAACACAACAGATTCCTTCTTGTGTACATTTAGCCCAATGTGTGTATTTCTGATTGCTAGGTCGTCCTGTAAGTGGTGGCTCAAGAACCCAAGCTCTTTCAATGTTGAGGCTCTTCCCTCTCCACCAAGCCTCCATGATGCTGGTCTGCACCACGCTGGTATGAACAGAAAGAATATAGCAGTCTTTAGCTGTGACTATAATTAGGTATAAAGGCAGGTACGACAGGTCATTGGGGCTGTGGCTGGGAGAATGGTGCCAGATTGTAGGGCAAGACAGCTGAAAGCATATGGTAGAAATCTAGCTCTGTCAATCAAGCCTGCTTTAAGTTACAAATAACAGAATCCTCCTCAAAACCATTGTAAGCCAGCCAAAGAAAAGGAAAGAAATGTTTTATAAGAATAGAACAGCGTGTATAAACACCCGTGGTATTTATTGTCCTATGGCCAGTCCTCCTTTCTCTGATGATAGCACTATGGTTGTCCTTTGGGGAGCCACCTTTCCCTGCTCTCAGTTCATGTGATTCAGGTGGAATCAATCCCAACCCCTGAATCACATCTGGCCAATCAAGCATTCCATCTCCTCAAACACAGTAATAGCCTTAGATTTGGGAATGTGACCCAATCCAACCAGTGGCTCAATGGTGAGACCTTCCTTGGAACTTCTAGACTCTCTGCCTGGCATGAAAGTGTAAGAATCTATGTGTGGGGCCTCCAGCAGCCATATTTCTATCTTGAAGAAAGAGCCTGCCTGAAGCTGACGCCAACGCAGAAGGAAGTAGATCCAAGAAATAGAGACGGGTTCCCGACAACACTGAACATCGGATCCAGCTATGGCTGAAGCTGTTATTTTTAGTGTCTGTGGATTCCTTTTCATTTAAGCCAATAGAAGTTATATTTCTATCACTTATTTCCTGGAGTCTTAACTAATAGAGGCAAGAAGTATAACCAGGGAATCCAGAGAGCCAGTCCTTTGCTCACACTCTTTCTCCAAGGGCCCATTTTTCTGTTTCTTTCTCCATCTGCCTAATTCCTTCTCTCTACACCTACAGAATGGCTTTTCTGCTATGTGTATACCATTAATAACCACCCCACAGCTGCCTAGTTTATGTCTTCATTTTGAGTGACCAGCAGAGACTATCTGTCTCTCAAATACAATTCCAAATTTCTTGGAGAGAGAATCTGAGTGGTCCACCTCAGGTCAGCTGTCCAATCTTGATCCATTCAGCTATGGCTTAGGGGGCTTTGGCAATTTATATAACTTTCTCGGGTCTCAGTTTTATTATCAGGAAAATGAGAATAATAATAGTACCTACCTTATAAGTTTGCGGGGAGGAGTGAATGAGAATGTGCATATGAAACTCTTAACATATCTGGTGTGTAGTAAATAAACAACAAATGTAAGCCGTGAAATGGTATTTCATTGGTAACCATGGTACTTCTCTGTCCTCGGTCTCCTTAAATTCTGCCTGATTGCAGGGGTGGCTTTGAGCCTGCAGGGGATGGGTGACAGGGATCTCAGCTGTGGGTATGAGAAGGATCTGAAGGCAGGAAGCCAGGCAGGTGATGGCAGTGATACAGGATTCCACCCAGGAGCAGCTCTGTGTGTGCTGAAAGAGCAAGAGAGAATGTTTGATATTCAGCCAAAACATTCCTCCTTCTGGCTAATGGAGGCTCATTGAAATAAGCTCTTTTCTCCCAAACTGATGTTGCTATCTTCAGAGAAATTCTCAATCAGCTCAGCCCCATCATTTTGTTTTCCTTAGGCTTGTCTACACTGGTGAGCAGAGTGAAGAATTCAGAAAAACTCATGATGGTAGAACTGGAAGCATTGAATCTTTGCAACAGCACCCTGAAATAGGTCTTCTCTCTCTCTCTCTTTAAGAAATGAGAACACAGAGGCTCAAAAGGATTAAGTAACTTGGCTGAGGTCTCAGAGCAAGTAAGTGGCAAAGCCACAATGTGAACCGAGATCTGTTGGACTCCAATCCCATGTTCTTTCATTGAGCCATGCCTGATTTTACAGTCTCAAGATTCACCTGTCAGTCTCCCCTGCTAAGCAAAAATCTACTACTGTCATGACCATTTTCATTTCTCACTTCTCCAACAAATGTTACAGGCCACAGACCGCCTGATGGAGCAGAGGGTAATTGAGGGGAAATTGGACAAAGGAGGTAAGTTCAGGAAAGGAGGCAGGGGCTGGATTTAAGGAGTTGGCCTCCAGGCTGTGGTCAGAGCCCGTCCATCTTTTACCATCAGCTGGAGAAATCTTATGTGGTCTTGTCCCTTCATTTCTGGGTGGTTAAGAACACGGGCTTTGGAGACAGACTGCCTAGGTTCACATCTCTACCTGCTATCACTAGTTGTATTGCCTTAGCAAGTGACTCGGTTTCCTTACCTGTAAAACAGGAGTTGTAGTGGATTGCATGGTGGCCCCAAAAAAATATATGTCCATGTCCTAATCCCCAGAACCTATGAATGTGATCTTATTTGAAAAAGGGGTCTTCACAGATGTAATTAAGTTAAGGAACTTAGGATAAGATCATCCTGGATTAACCAGTGGAGTCTAAATCCAATGACATATCAAAATCAATTGACCATAAAAATAAGGGTTTATTTCTGGATTCCCAATTCTGTTCTATTGATCTGCATGTCCGTCTTTATGTGAATCATTTTTATTGAGATATAATTCACATACCATAAAATTCATCCTTTTAAAGTATGTAAGTCAGTGGTTTTTAGTATATTCACAAAATTGTACAACATGCAACCATCATCACTGTCTAAGTCCGGAACACTTTTATCATTTTTAAGTCCTTTTTTGATCCTTCCTTTCAGACAGTAGGTTGGGTGATGGATGGGCTTTAGTTCCCCATGCTGCTTTGCCCTTGTAGCTAGGGTGACTGCCTCATCTTGGTCTGTCTGGGACATTCCTGGTTTTAAAACGGAAAGTCCCGCATCCCAGGAAGCCCCTTGGTATGGGGCACACTGAGACAGTTGTCATCTGGAGCACACATTGTCAACCTTCCTTGCCACTGGGTGTGTTCCACCTTCCTGCTACCAGTACCTGCTTCTCTGTGTCTCTGGGCTTTCTCCAAAGCCATGGGAGCCTACTCTACTCAGAACAGCAGGCTGGGATTAACCCTGCTTTACTGGCACATCCCTCATAGCAACAGGAGTACGAATACCCCAGCTTTTTTTTTTTGAGACGGAGTCTCACACTGTCGCCCAGGCTGGAGTGCAATGGCGCGATCTCGGCTCAGTGCAAGCTCCGCCTCCCGGGTTCACGCCATTCTCCTGCCTCAGCCTCCCGAGTAGCTGGGTCTACAGGCGCCCGCCACCACGCCCAGCTAATTTTTTTGTATTTTTAGTAGAGACGGGGTTTCACTCTGTTAGCCATGATGGTCTCGATCTCCTGACCTTGTGATCCGCCTGCCTCGGCCTCCCAAAGTGCTGACGAATACCCCAGCTTTTTCAACTGTTGGGTGGGATAACTCTGAGGCAAGGGTTTTACACTGACTTCCGTAGTTTCCCCAGAGGGATAAGCTTCTCTCTCCCACGGTGGTAGCTAGCTTGATGTTGTACCCTTGATGCCTGCTTTCCCTTACTTGTGTCACTTTCCCATCCCCAAGTCTTTGTCTCAGAGTCCTCTTCTGGTCAGATCCAAACCAAGTAAGCCTTCACTCCTGGATCTTTGAAACCAACAACAAATGCTTTCTCAAGCATATGTCAAGTGTTATGCAAATGGAACTTCTAATTCCTTCTTCCAGCCAGATTGCTGCTTCTAAAGCCCCCATAGAGAAATTCTAGATCGCTGGACAGATCTTGATATCCCTCACCAGCAGCACATACACTCCCTCACCCAGGATCTGACCCACCTTCAGTCTTTAGGCTCCTCATGGGCACAGGGAAGTCCTACTTCAAAATACGAAACTTTCTAGTCATGACTGGCTGGGCTCCATCTGACGGCACAGAAGCAGACCGGCACTTTTATTGCTGTTTATTGTCAATGTCGGGTCCTCTTGGCAGCAGGATCACACCCCTGCCTATCAGCAGTGAGGGCTGTCTGAGCCTTCTGAGAAAAATGGATTACAGAACAATTGCAGCATAAATGCAGAGAAAAGCAGAATTCTGAATGCAGGCAGCTGGAGAACAACCCCAAATGGGGTCTCATCGGGGCCACATCAAGAGGAGCCCCCACTGCCCAAAAATCTGTTCATGACTTGTGCATGAAATCCCATCATTAGAGAGTTGTGCCAGATTGTATTTTCCAAAGACGGCTGCACAAATATCAACCTCACAGTTTGTTGTTTTGCTTTTTGTTTTTTGTTTTCTAGATGGGACCTTGCTCTGTCGCCCAGGCTGGAGTGGAGTGGTGCGATTTCGGCTCTCTGCAACCTCTGCCTCCTGGGTTCAAGCAATTCTGCCTCAGCCTCCTGAGTAGCTGGGATTACAGCTGCCCGCCACCATGCAGGGCTAATTTTTGTATTTTTAGTAGAGACGGGGTTTCACCATGTTGCCCAGGCTGGTTTCAAACTCCTGAACTTGTGATCAGCCTGCCTCATTTTCCCAAAGGGCTGGGATTACAGGCATGAGCCACCGCTCCCAGCCTCAAGTTCTTCTTATAGGATGACATCAACATCTCTCCATTGAGAAGTGGGGCCTATGTTCCTTCCCTCTAAACTTGCTGGACCTTTGGCACTGCCTCAACCAGTGAGATGAGGCAGAAATGTGTGAGTGAGTGAACCTTCAGGTGATTCCTGCCCCCAGCTGAGGACTGAGACATTGTGAAGTACAGTCATGCCTTCTCTCTGCCTTTTCTGCATTAGTCTTATAGAAACTGTGAGATTATAATAAATGGATTATAAGAAATGGATTATTGTTATTTCAACCCACTAAGTTTTGGGGTTGATTTGTTGTGTAGCAGTAGATTACTAATGCAGGAGTGAATTCCTTGGTTGCACTAGAGAACAACCTCTCTAAGTGCCAGCAGACCCAGATGGGGAAACATATGAGGCCAGGTAGTCGTTCACACTTTAGTATGAGTCACTCATACTTGGCACTACTCCCCCATCCCTTTTAGAAAAGAGATAAGGTTTAAAATCTTAGAAAATTGGAGATAGTGTCAGGACCTAGGGCACTAAAGGGCGAAAGTGGATGTTGGGGCACTTTGTGGGAAGAGATCTGGACTTAAAGCCAGACAGGACTGGGTTCTAGTCCTAATCATGCCCCTCTCTGACAGAATGTCCTCTAATGTATGCAAGAGGCTCTGCCACTTATTAGCTACATGACCTTGAACATAGCCTCAGATTCCTCATTTATAAAGCACTCACAATAATACCTATCTATCTCCCAAATTGCAGGGAAAAATAAACAAGACAATGGTTATGAAGGTAAACTGTTCATGTAACTTAAGAAAGCCAAAGGTGTGGTGAATAGGACACTCAAGGAGGAGTCAGCAGATCTGGATTTTAGTCCAAGCTTTGACAGTAACTCACTCTGTAACACTTGGCAAAGTCACTTACCCCTCCACCCTAGCCCCCATAAGGCTCATGCAAATATAATATCTCTAGACCCAAGCATCCTTGGTGCAAGAAGACCTTCAGCCATCAGTACCAGCAGAGGGTTTCAGTGTCTCAGAGTCACCAATTCCAGGTAACAAAATAAGGTCAAGGTCAAAGTAGAGTCAAACTGGCAACGTGAGAAACCGATTATCAGGCAGGGTTAAGGGAGTCCAAGGAGAGTCTCATTGTCTAAATATAGCTTATAGCTATGAGAGTGAAGGATGAGGGATGCAGCCAATATCTGGTCATGGCCCCACCCATTGACAGTGTAATACAGAAATCAGGAGCCATTTGGACTCTGGAGCCGGAATACCTGCGTTTCAAATCTCAGCTGTGCTACTGATTAGCTGTACCAACCTTGGGCATGTTAATTAACTCTATTATGCTTTCATTTTCTCATCTGTAAAATGGAGGTGATAATTACAGCACCTTTTTGATCAGGTTATTGTGAAGATTACATGAACTTGTGCCGTAAAGAGTTCTTTCAAACCTAGGAAGCTGTTTTTCAGTGAGGCAATATTGGCTGATGTTTCTTAAAGTAAGGAAAATGATAGTTATAGAGATAATTTTAGTAGGAAAATTCACAGGTCCTTCAACATAAAACCACATGCCCCTGCCACCCCATCTTCCCCACTCTGCAAAGACAAATCAAATAAAATTAAATCTCTCTTCAATTCTCTGTTGATTCTTTCGACTATACCAAAGAGAAAGCGACAGCTTGGTGCTAGTAAGTCTTTAACACCCCTGTAGCTCTTGCTCATTTACTAATTCCCTTCTCTACCTCTCTAACAATGCAAAGTCCATGGCCTGGAGCTCAGAGCCTTGCCGAGCAACAGTGTCTAGCTACAATTTAATAACATTTTGCTTGCGTTGTATTTATTCTCACAGTTACTTCCTTTTATGGCAGGTGATTCTGGTTTTCCATTTATACTAGTAATTGAAAATGTTCTTTTAAAGTAAATGTATTCATGTTTTTTTAAAAAGCAGATGTATTTTAAAATATTAAATATATTATGGTATAGATGGTTTTTGGAAACAAAAAAAATCATGAAGATGGTACTCAAACAATTGAAATTTGGGAAACAATGTATTGGGCTACAAAGGACAAAGATGTGAATATCATCTCCAGGGAACTACGTGGATCCCCCACCAACTAAAACACATTTCCTAGTCACAAACTGTGTCCCTGTTCTGCTTCTCAAGACCCCAGGGACTCATGATGCTCTCCTGTCCCTTCAAATGTTGCCAGAATGTAAATTGGCACAAATTTTGAATATTTTGGTACATATATTTTATATTAGCCAGTAATTCCATTTTCTAGGAATTTATTTTTATAAAATAATCATGGGTGTGCTCAAAGACACATGGCTGAGAATATCTGTGGCCACATTATTTGTGGCAGTGAAAACGAAATGACCTAAAAGACCAACAGTAGGAGACCAGATTCACAAATGGTAGGATATCCAAAAAATGAATCTAATAACAATAACATGTCACTCTACCAAGTACTTCTCTAGGAACTTTACATATGTTAACTCACTTAATTGTCACAACAATCCCACAGGGTAAATATTATAGACACACTTTATAGGTGAGGAAACTGAAACACAGGTTAACTCTCGTGCCCAAGATCACACAGCTGGTAAGCAGAAGAGCTGACATTTGAAACTAGGCCACCTGGACACAGCATCTATGTTCTTAATCACTATGCTGCAGTCCTTTCATTGAAACTGATGTTGTAAATGAAAAAACAATTTTTGAGACAGGGTCTGGCACTGTCACCCAGGCTGGAGTGTAGTGGCACCTTCATAGCTCACTGCAGCCTCTACATCCAGGGCTCAAGTGATACTCCAGCCTCAGTCTCCAGAGTAGGCTGATTTTTTTCATTTTTAGTAGAGATGAGGTCTCACTATGTTGCTCAGGCTGGTCTCAAACTTCCTGAGCTCAGGCAATCCTCCTGCATCAGCCTCCCAAAGTGCTGGGATTACAGGAATGAGCCACCGCGCCTGGCCAGAAAATTTACTGACTGGGAAAGTGTTTCCAATGTATCAGTAAGTGAAAAAAGCAGGCAGAGAAAAAAGTCTAGAAAAACATATACCATATGTCAAAGAGATTATTTCCGGTTGGTGGGATTGTGATTTTTGTTGTCTGTTCTTTTAGACATTTTCCAGGTTTTCTGTACCGAATGCTTATTACCTTAAATTAGACAAATGAAACAAGAAAATAGGACTTTTCTTCTCACATCTCCTATTCTTTGCTGCTTCTGAAGACAAAACAATTGGTTCTTTGTGATGACAATAAAATGATGATGATAATAGCCAACATTTAATGAGCTCTTAGTATGCAAATGAATTGACAAGCATGATCTCATTTAACTCTCTTCAGTCAGAACTACTCTATACAGCCTCCCAAGCTGTGCACTGCACAATTCCAGGGGGCACCACAATATATTGTCTATATTATGGACAGTACTGTGAATGCTGGCCCTTGGACCTGTGCAACATGGCTGCCCTGTCAACAATTCTAAGGGGTAGATATTCTCATACTCTTCACTTTGTAGAAGAGGAAACTGAGGCACAGAAAGGCTAATTAACTTCTCCACATCACACAGCTAGTGAGTGGAACCAGTACTGAAACCCAGGCTGCCTGACTTCGTGGTCTATTCTCTTATTTGTAATTGCAGAGGGGATGACAAAGGAGGCAAAGTAAAAGCTGGGCATCTTGACAAAGATTTCAGAACCAGCAGAGGCACTGTGATGACATAAAAGGAGCACTGGCCAAAAGGTAGGACACCCATGCTGTAGTCCCTGCTCTGTCCCCACCTGGCTATGTGACCTAAGGAAAGTTCTTTTTTCCCTCTGGGCTCAGCTTCTCCATCTGCAAAAGGAGGGAATTACACAGGATGATCTTTAAGATTTCCTCCAGCTCTGAGAGTCTACAATTACAGATGGCATCCCAATATGGGCCCCGAATCGTGCCCTCCCACTCAGCATGGACCATCTCCCTCTTGCTCGCTGGAGGCAGCATCTCTCACGCTGACCTACTTTGTGTGTGGGGGAGAGGAGGGCAGAGTGGAGCAGTAAGAAGGGAGTGAGAAACCAAAGGTTTGCCCTCCTGAGAGACCCAGGCTCCTCCCCAGCCTGCTAAAGATTTAGGCAGTACCCATCCACCTCCTTCTGACACCTCTCCTCCCTGCTCCTCAGAATGCAGCAGGCTGAAAAACCTGAGCAGGCTGGCTGTATTGTCTTAATGCATTGCTTGTATTTTTCAGTCGTGTTGGTGATTCACCAGGGTATTTCTTTCTCCAACTTTCCAAACCTGCTTCGTTAAAGTCATTCTTGCAGGATCTTCAGGATGTTTTATTAAACAAAAACACGAGGTACAGAACTGTGTGTATGGGGTGAGAAAAAATAATTTAAGCATACATGTGTGTTTGTGAAGAAAGAAAGAATAAATATTTCTGGAAGAAGACATGAGAGACTGGTAACCACTTGTGTCGCAGGAGGTACTCTGAGTGGGGGTAGAGCATAGGCAGGACGGAGGCTTTATGCCTTTTGAATGTATGTGTGTTACCTACTCAATTGTTTATTTTATTTATTTATTTATTTATGAGACAAAGTCTCTCTCTGTCACACAGGCTGGAGTGCAGTGGTGTGGCCTCGGCTCACTGCAGCTTCACCCTCCCAGGCTCAAGCCATCTTCCTGCCTCAGCCTTCAGAGCAGCTAGGGCCACAGGCATGCCCCACCACATCCAGCTAATTTTTTAATTGTTTGTAGAGGCAAGTTCTTGCTATGTTGCCCAGGCTGGCCTCAAACACCTCAACTTCTAAAAAATCAATAGGCCGGGCATGGTGGCTCATTCCTGTAATCCCAGCACTTTGGGAGGCCAAGGCCAAGGCGGGTGGATCACTTGAGCCCAGAAGTTCAAGACCAGCCAAAGCAACATAGGGAGACCCAGTCTCTATAAAAAAAGAAAAAATAATCAAAAAGACATTCTTCTTCCCAAAACTTCCTGACTGTATTTGTTTGCTAGGCTGCCATAACAAAGAATCACAGCCTGAGTGGCTTGAACGGTATCTCACAGTTTTGGAGACAAAACGTCCAAGATCAAATTCGGCGGGGTTGGTTCCTTATGAAGCCTCTCTCCTTGGCTTGTAGATGCCATCTTCTCCTGGTCTCCACGTGGTCTTCCCCACTTGTGTCTGTGTCCAGATTTTCTCTTCTTATTAGGACACCAGTCCCAGTGAATTAGGGTCCACCCTAATGACCTCATTTTAACTTAGTTACCTATTTACAGGCCCCATCTCAAAACACAGTCTCATTCTTTTTTTGTTTTTTTTTTTTTTTTTTGAGACGGAGTCTCGCTCTGTCACCCAGACTGGAGTGCAGTGGCGCAACCTCGGCTCACTGCAACCTCTGCCTCCCGGGTTCAAGTGATTCTCCTGCCTCAGCCTCCTGAGTAGTTGGGATTACAGGCGTGCACCACCACACCCGGCTAATTTTTGTATTTTTAGTAGAGACAAGGTTTCACCATGTTGATCAGGCTGGTCTTGAACTCCTGACCTTGTGATCCACCCGCCTCGGCCTCCCAAAGTGCTGGGATTACAGGCTTGAGCCACATTCTGCAGTATGGGGATTAGGACTTCTACATGTGAATTTTGGGAGAACTCAATTCAACCCGTAACACTGGTCTAGGTGAATGAATTTGACCCCTTGAGACCAGTGGCCCTCTGAGGAACAGGTACAGACTAAATCTTAGACTCGATTGACTTGAATGGAACACCTCTTGTGAGGGGAGCACTGTTTTAGGCTTGGGACTAGTACTAAACTGAATTCGATTTGACTCTGGTCAGGAGGTAGAGAGGGAGATGAGAACTAGACTCCTCGACTGAACATCAGAAGAGCTGATCATGGAACCATGGGTCTACCACTTCCCAGCCACGCTAGCCTGGACAGTATTTTTAGCCACCAGTTCTGTCATGTGTAAAGTGCATGTCATAATCCATACCTCCAAAGGTGATTGCAAAGTTTAAAGGAGAAAAGACCCGTAAAATGCCTGGTATATAGTAAGTGTTTAATATACAGTATTTACCACCCGTCTCATCTTCCAGCTCAACTGTGGGCTCCAGGAAGCAGGGCCTATGGCTTTTTCATCTCATGGCCCTGGAACGTAGCATTGAACACCAGGGCATGGGTTGAGCAGTTTTGTTGGAAGCAGTAGCCCAGACTGATTTGCGAGGCTGTGTGGATGTGTCCTGGAGGGACCTTCAGAATTAGCACAGGGGCCATCTTGAAAAGCAGTGTTTCATAATGAAGAAAATCTGTGTATGAATGTGAACATGACCTCCTTGGGAACCACCTGCTGATGAAGCCGAGGGATGCTTGAGCTATATTTGGATCTCCTGTTGTTCATGACAGACACACCTCCCCAGGACAATGGGAACACATCAGAGTTGGAGTGAACATCTGCCCTGCATTAGTCAGGGCACTCCACAGAACCAGAACCAATAGGATAGATAGATGATAGTCAGATAGATAGATAGATAGATAGATAGATAGATAGATAGATAGAATAGGAGATTTATTATAGGAATTGGTTCATGCAGTTATGGAGGCTGAGAAGTCCCACGAACTGCTGTCTCCAAGCTGGAGAACCAACAAAGCTGGTGGCGTAATTCAGTCCAAGCCTGAGGGCCTGAGAGTGGGGATCCAATGGTGGAAGCCCTGGTCTGAGTCTGAAAGCCAAGAACCAGGAGCACCGATGCCCAAAGGCTGGGGAAGATTGCTATCTCAGAGAGAGAGAGAGAGGGCAAAATCACGCTTTCTCTGCCTTTTCGTTCTATCCAAGCCCTCACTAGATTAGATGACACCCACCCATATTGGTGAGGGTGATCTTCTTACTCAGTCTACCAATTTAAATAATATCTTCCATTGACACCCTCACAGACACACCTAGAAATAATGTCTTACCAGATATCCGGGCATCCATTATCCCAGACAAGTTGACGCATAAAATTAACCGCCACAATCCTCGCTGCTTCTGGTAATAGAATTACACTTTTCCTTTGGGGAACCAGCCTCATTCATTCTTGGCTTATGTAGTTTGGATGGGTGGGCCACATCTCAAGCTCCAGGAATGAGCACATGGCTCAGATCCGGCCATTGCCTGTACCATATTCTCTGGTTTACCATGGTTGGTTCAGTGATTAGCACATGACTGCAGCTGGCAATCTGAGTGATTCATAGGAACTTTACTGGGACTATGAAGAATGAAGGCCAGGCACAATGTCTCACACCTGTAATTCCAGCAATTTGGGAGGCCAAGGCAGGCAGATCACCTGAGGTCAGGAGTTTGAGACCAGCCTGGCCAACAGGGTGAAACCCCGTCTCCACTAAAAACACAAAAAATTAGCCAGGCATGGTGGCACATGCGCTTGTAATCCCAGCTACTCGGGAGGCTGCGGCACAAGAATCGCTTGAACCCAGGAGGCGGAGGTTGCAGTGAGCTGAGATCATGCCACTGCACTCCAGCCTCAGTGACAGAACAAAACTCTGTCCCCCCCCCAAAAAAAAAAGAGAGAGAGAAAGAAGTGCTTTTTTTTCCACCAGGGTTGCTAAACTGGAACTGCTACTGGCCATTTTGCCACCTTGAGGGGAAAACGTGCCTGAGTTCCTGGTTACATTGTGTGAGCACCTGGATTCAGGCTTGCATGAAGCCAGAACTAGTCCTGAATGTCTTGGTTAGATAAGCCAATAAACCGATTCAGGACACTTCAGTAGAGGGTGGTTGATTTTGTGCTCTGGGTGTGTTAGAACTGACTTATATTAGCTAACGAGATGAAGTGTTAAATATTTGGGAATTTCATGACTGGTTGTTAAACCGTCGGTAGCTGGATATCAGCCATGGTCAGAATATTTATCCCACGGATATCATGAAATGCCACAGATCAAGGCACATTTTCCTCCTTGGAGAATCAGTTTACCAGCAAATCACAGGTCCTGACCTTGATTCAATAGGTCCCAAAACGTCCAGCAAGAATGACTGCTGGCCAGGGGTGGTGACTCATGTCTATAATCTCAATACTTTGGGAGGCTAAGGCAGGAGGATTGCTTGAGGCCAAGTGTTCCAGACCAGGCTGGGCAACATAGCAAGACCCTGTCTCTACAAAAAATTTAGAATTCAGCCAAGTGTGGCTGTGCTTACCTGTAGTCTTAGCTACTTGGGAGGCTGAGGTGGGAGTATCACTTGAGCCCAGGAGTTGGAGGCTGCGGTGAGCTGTAGCTGTGATAGTGCCACTGTACTCCAGCCTAGGCAAGAGTGACACCCTGTCTCAAAAAAAAAAAAAAAAAAAAAAAAAAAAAAAAACTCAACAACAAACTAGAATGACTGTTAAACAACAACAACCACCAACATCTATATTTCACTTCCTGGCACTTTCTCATCCATAATCTCATCTTGTCCCTCCAGCAATGCTGTAAAGTAGAAGTTATTACTCACATCCTACAGGTAAGGAATCCAAGGCCTAGATAAATGCCTTCCTTGTGGTCAGGTGGCAGAGCTAAGAAATAAGCTCAGGTCTTTGGACCCCATGCTTAATGTTGTTTCCCTGACACCCTGTAGGAGGTGACTGGAATGTCACAACAGGGTCTAAACAAGCAATTTGGTCACTGGGTATGGAGAAACTGTTTTTGTAAAAAGAGTGTTTTAACCACCTCTGAACAGAGGTGGTCAATTAGGAAGGCAGTCGCCCGGGGATCAGCAGTTACACTACATATTCAATGTGCTGAGAAAACACAGCATTATTTCCAGGAGATTATATAGCTCACATTTGCACAGAATTTTTTGGTTTTTAAAGCCCTTTCAAGTCTGTTGCCTCTGCAGATAGACTCCCTTAAAATGCTTAGAAAGTCGGGCCCTATGTAACAGACTGATTAACCAAAAACCCACCACCAGTACTCTTTTCCCTTCACTGCCTATATTAAAATAGCCTGGAAAAGGCCAGGCGTGGTGGCTCATGCCTGTAATCCCAGGACTTTGGGAGGCCGAGGTGGGCGGATCACTTGAGGTCAGGAGTTTGAGACCAGTCTGACCAACATGGTGAAACCCCCATCTCTACTAAAAATATGAAAAATTAGCCAGGCATGGTGGCATGTGCCTGTAGTCCCATCTACTCGAGAGGCTAAGGCAGGAGAATCCCTTGGACCTGGAGGTGGAGGTTGCAGTGAGCCGAGATTGTGCCACTGCACTCCAGCCTGGGTGACAGAGTGAGTGAGACTCCATCTCAATTAAAAAAAAAAAAAAAGCTCGAAAAAAATATTTACTTTTGCTGCCTCAAGACGTGACCTAGTTCTGGCTATTGAGATTTATGCAAAAGTCTGCTTTCTTGATAAAAAGTATTGTCTTTCCCCACTTCATCCTGCCTTGAGAAAAGATGTGATACATGGTGCTGCAGCAGCTATTTTGTAGTTATGAGGTGACAAGACAAAAAACTAAGCACAGCAGAGCAGAAAGACAGCAAAAGTATGAGTTCTCAATGGTATTATTGAGTCTGCACTGGGCTGCTTCCTCTGAATCTTTTGTTATGTGAGAAATATAAACTACTGTTACTTGGGCATCCTGTTACCTACAGTGGAAACATGCTAATATAATTAACAATTCTAGTTCTAGAAGTTTATCATAGAGATTACCTATAATGGGGAAAAACTGGAAACAGTCTAAATGTGCACAAAAGGAGGTTGATGAAATAAATTATAGGGTGGCCATATATTGTATACTATTCAATTATTGAAAACTGCATTGCAGACAAGCACTTCTTAAACTTGCGTTCTTAAACAAGTACCTACAGACATTTTTCTGTGGGTGTATATGTGCCTTTTTCTGAGAATATAATGTTTATCAGACTCTCAAAGGGGTTTCAAGAAAGTTGAAGAATCACTACAGGTTGAGCATCACAAGTCAGAAAACCCAAAACCTGAAATGCTCCAAAATCCTAAATATTCTGAGCACTGACATGATGCTGAAAGGAAATGCTCATTGGAGGCTTTTGGACTTGGGATGCTCAGCTGGTAGGTATAATGCAAATATTCCAAAATTTGAAAAAAAATAAAAAAATCCAAAACATGTTTGGTCCCAGGCATTTGGTATAAGAGATACTCGATCTGTATTAAAATTACTATTTGTAAACATAGAAAGATGTTCACAATATTTTGAGGGAACAGAAATTTATAAAAGAGTATGTACACCATTCTTCCATATTGGAAAAATTGCATATATGTTATCAATGTAAGCATGCATGGTAGTGGGCTAAAATACACAGAATGCACACTTGGGTGTCCAAAAAATAGCTTTATTTATTAATTTAAATTGAACTTATCTTAGGCTACTATATCACATTCCTGATGATTGTAGAAAACAAATTTGCAGCTTAAAGTAAATTCAGACGTTTCCTGACTTAAAGTGATCAGTTCAGGCCAGGCATGGTGGCACACGCCTGTAATCCTAGCACTTTGGGAGGCCAGGCGGATTGCTTGAACTCAGGAGTTCAAGACCAGCTTGGGCAACATGGTGAAACCCCATCTCTAACAAAAAAATACAAAAATTAGCCGGGCGTGGTGGTGCATGCCTGTAGTCCCAGCTACTTGGGAGGCTGAGGTGGGAGGATGGCTTGAACCCGGGAGATTGAGGCTGCCGTGAGCTGAGATTGTGCCACTGCACTCTGGCCTGGGCAACAGAGCGAGACCCCGTCTCAAAACAATCAATCAATCAATCAATAAAAGATCAGTTCATAATCCTCCCATTTTCTAATCCTTCTCTGGGTGATTTTAGCTCTTCGGTGGACAGATGCATCATCCTAGAATCCAGAGAAGCAGCATCTGGTGCCTGTGCTGCTGCCTGTTCTTCCCTGGCCTCTACACATTATCTTACCTGGTTCCCACCATGAAGCACTGGCATCTGCTGCTAATATCTGTGGTCCTGCCCTGGCTGCCAGTTGAGATGTCTATGCGCTCCTGATTTACCTTGTCACAATTTATTCTCAGCTTGTTTGGTATCCATCGTAGGGGTCCATGAGAAATTTTTAGATGCTTTTCCACATCTGAAAGTATGCCTTCAGCCTTGCCCAATCAATGGCTATTTTGCCCTTCAGTGTACCAGATTTGACATGGAGCAACTTTAATGAACTTGCATCCTGGGAAGAAAGGTTCAAGTTCCTTCTGCTTTTGTATTCTCGCTAAACCTGCTTAGGACGCCCAGTGTCCACTCCCACTCTCAGGTGTGGGGCAGTGCTCCGAGCCCCTTTTCAGAACCTAGGCAATGCGTCAGCTGTGGTCTCATCTGTCTAATTCTGCCTTTCCTCTCCAGACGTTCCTACTCTTATCTCTCTCTCTGTCTTTTTTTTCTTTCTTTTTCATTCTGGGGTTTATCTTACAAACGCTGTGCTCTAAGTTTTCCACGTTTGCTCTTTTCTGTACCAAGTCAGGCTGTTGCAAATCTGGAGATAAACAATTTCTGTCAAAAAAAATCCTGGCTTTTGTGAATAAGAAGTACTTTGGCTTCCAAACTTATGCCCATGCTATAGGTTTTCAAGTCATTTTATGAGTAACTAAGAATTTGGCCTTTTGTTTTTCTAGACTCTTTATTGTCCTTATGGGCAGTACCTTAAAAGGCCCGAATGGTGGGTGTAAAACACAAAAGATACAAGGTAACATGTGTTAGAAGGAAATAACCTCTTAATAATTCAAAATATTTTCCTTCTGCCTGTGCAGTGGAAAAGATCTGAAAAGATACATGATGAGGTGTCAGCAGTTATGATCTTGGGATGCTGGGAGTATATTAAGGTAACAGTTATGGTGGAAATTACAGAGAACCCAACTAGCAGTGGCTTAAAATAACAAGAGTTTATTCTTCTGGCACAGTAAGTCTGGAGGTAGGCAGCTGCTGGCATTGGCTCAGCAACGCAACATTGTCAGGGCCAGCATCTTTGCGGTTCCCTTGGCCTTTCCCCGAGGTCTCAAGATGGTTGCCACTCAACATGTTAAATCTCACATTCAAGGCGGAAGGGATGGCACCAACCCCATCTGTTCTTTTGAACTAGAAAAGCAAAGGCCTTACATTTTTATCTTATTGGCCAACACTAGGTCACATGGTCACCCCAGCTGCAAGGTAGGCTGGGAAAACCAGGGGCAGGTTGGCATTGGGTTAGCCGGTCAACCACACCTAGCGCAAAGGATATTTACATTGCTTTTCTTGTTTCTCTGTATCTTCTCATTTTCTACTTTATTTTTGTTTTTAGAGACAGAGTCTTGTTCTGCCACCCAGGCTGGAGTGCAATGGCACAATTGTAGCTTTCTGCAGCCTCTAACTCTTGGCCTCAAGTGATCCTCTCACCTCAGCCTCCCAAGTAGCTAGGACTACAGACATGAGCCACCAAACCCAGCTAAATTTTTTTTCTTTTAGAGATAGGGTCTCACTATCTTGCCCCGGCTGGTCTGGAACTCCTGGCCTCAGGTGATCCTCCTGCCTTGACCTCCCAAAAATGCTAGGATTATAGGCGTGAACTACTACATCCCAAATTTTTCCACTTACAAAATCGTTTATTTTTTTAGAGACAGGGTCTCATCTGTTGTCTAGACTGGAGTGCAGTAACATGATCATAGAATCATAGATCATAGCTCACTGTAGCCTCGAACTCCTGTCCTCAAGTGATCCTCACGTCTTGGCCTCCTAAAGTGCTAGGATTAGAGGTGCAAGCCACTGTGCCAAGGCTAATTTTTCCACCATTGACAAGTATTGTGTTTGTAAGTGCTATATGTAATTAAATACTAATAAATAATATTCAGAAATGAAATATACGGCCTCATTTGATTCTCCCAACTCCTTGCCCTCTGTATAATCTTGCCCTCATATTAGGAGAAGGTAAGGCTCATATGTCAAATGACTTTTCCAAGGCACCTGCAAATTATTGGCAATGCTCAACAAAGAATGCAGGTATCCAGATTCCATCACCTGATGGAGGATACCAATTTGCTGTTAACTATCAGGAAGCTTATAAATGAAACTTCACAGTTAAGTTGATAGAGAGGCTAGGAAAATTAATTAAGCACAAGCACAAAAGGCCCATTTCCCACATTTCAAGCCCTATTGAGTCAGGTGCATTAAGCTGGTACTGACTGCCCGTCCCTCTCCATGTCCCTCCTGCCTCCTCCGTTCTCTGTCCTTCCCCCCACATTCTCTGCCCGGCCCTTCCTTCTTGCCACCCACGGCAAGGTGTCACTCAGTGGAAAGAGCTCCAGCTTTATCTTCATTTACACCAGAGTCTGATTCTGATTCTACCACTTACTACCCATGATACCTTCAGCAAGTTGTGTCAACTTTCTGGGCCTCAAACCCTTCATCTGTTCAATGAAAACATTATTACTTATGTCATAGGACTAATTTAATAATTTACACAGCAGCATATGTCAAAGCTTCTCACATGGTTTTCAATGCTTAGTATGTGCTCAATCACGGTAACAGTAATTGTCATGATACAGAAGCTCAACAACTTTTGAAATGTCAGTCTCCATTATTATGCATTATTATTATTGCATTATTGTGAACTCAGGCCAGCAATAAGCCAGTGCACAAGGTCACAACTCTGTTCTCTGTCAATCAAAGCAGTCACTTGTATGGTGTCACTGTGGACTTAAACCAAGTGGATTTATGAGCAAACTTTGAGTTTCCAATCAGTTTGCAAAGTTTATAATAGTGTGTCGCTTCAAGCACAGATGGTTGAATCATGGCTCTGACACTTACTAGCTGTGATCTTGGTCAAGTTACTTAAAGTCTCTGTATCACAGTTTGATATTTAGAAAATGGGGATAAGAGTACTATAGGGTTGTGCAGATTCAATGAGTTAATATATGAAAAACACTTCGAACAATCCCTGATGCATCAAACATGTTACATACCTCTTTGCTGTTGTTGTTATTATTATACTGAACACCTGCTATGTGCCCAAGGACATGAAGCTAGTTATGGGTGAAGCCAGGAGTTAAACTCACCACTATCGGATTCTGAATCAGCACCCCAACCACTAACCTGCCTTCATTCACCATCTTTACCTACCTCCTTCCTCTTTCCTTCACAGTCCAACTCTTCCTTCATGTTCCTGGCATGCAGGTCTTTGTCTTGTCCCTGTCCATTCTTGCCATCCTTTATCTTTACTTTCCCTTCTCTATCTTGTTCCCTCTGCCATGAGCCTGGAGCTGAAGACTGCCTATAACACTGGTTGTATCAGAGACCCAACTGCAGTGCCTTAAACATATTTTTATTTTTCTTCTCTTTCTCTTACATAAAAGAAGTCTGGAGGTGAGTAGTTCAGGGCAGATGTGGTAGCTCCATCATCAGGCGGTCTTGCTGAACTCATGGCTTCCATTCTCAAAATCACCTCATGGTGACAAGATTGATGCTGTACTGCTAGCCATCACATCTATATTCCAAGTAGTAGGAATGAGCAAGATTACAAGAGATGACTCTGCATAGTCAATGCCATTTAAAGATCTTTCCTGGAAGCCCCAATCAAGTACTGTCATTTGGCCACTTATCTTCAGGGAAGACTAAGAAATAAAGTTTTTCATATGGGTACATCATTACTTTCAACCAAAACAGAGTCCTGGTATTAAGGAAAAGAAGGAGAATGGTTACTGAGTAATCAGCTAGCTATTGGTACTGTACTACTTTCAGAAAGAAGAAAAGGAAAGGCCAGGTGTGGTGGTACATGCCTATAGTCCCAGTTACTTAGGAGGCTGAGGTGGGAAAATCACTTGAGCACAGGAGTTTGAGTCCAGCCTGGACAGTATAGCAAGACCCCATCTCTAAAGTTTTAAATTATCTTTAAAGTTTTAAATTAAAATTAGGGGTAAAATAGAAAAGGAGAATAAATGTTGGGTAGGCAGCTAGCTATCTGTACTACACCATTCCTGAAGTTCCTTCTGAGGAGAATGCTGCACGTGGTTGAGAAGAATTCTTTGAGGAACTTAGGTAGGTGATAAAACATCCAAGAAGAATGGTCCGAGATTTATGGAACTCTAAAATTAATCTTTTTTTTTTTTTTTTTTTTTTGAGACAGGTTCTTGCTCTTCACCCAGCCTGGAGTATATTGGCACTACCAAGGCTCACCTCTGCCTCAATCTCCTGGGCTCAATTAACCCTCCCTTCTCAGCCTCCCAAGTAGCTGGGACTACAAGTGTGTGCCACCACGCCTGGCTAAGTTTTGTATTTTTCGTAGAGATGGGGTTTCACCATGTTGGCCCCATGTTGGTTTTGAACCCCTGGGCTCGAGTGATACACCAGCCTCAGCCTCCCAAATTGCTGGGACTAGAGGTGTGAGCCACTGCTCCTGACCCTAAAACTCATCTTTTAGGAAGGAGCATTCAGATTAACTGTAGGCCTTTTGTTTGCTGAATGGAGATGTAAGTTTTAATATAGAGGTGTTTTGCTTGGACAACAGAAAGACTAAATACTGCAAAGAGTCCCAAGAGTCCTATTTGTTTCTGTTCTTAACACCCCACAATGTTCAGCCCCTTCTCCAAATACTCTATTAACAAACATTTGAAGAATAGTGGTTTGAAAGGATGCCAAATCATTAGCCTGCCTGGGATAATTATCAATACTTGTGCTCACTCATGTTCGTTTCTCCTTTTCCTCTTTGTCAGCACATAGGAAGAGTACACTGCCCAGCCCTCTGGTGCTTATATAAGGCTATGTGACCATCTAGCCAGTGGTAAGCAGAGGTGACACATTTCACTTCCAGGCCTAAGCATCCAAGAGCAATGTGGGTTCCTGTTGCTTCTCTCTTCCCCTGCTGTAGTGAAGGCAGAGGTCGAGATGGTACAGCCACAAAACTGAAGCCACCTGGGAGCCCTGAGTGTCAGCACGTGGAGACAGCTGCCCTGGGGTGTTGGATGGGGTCTCAGTGTACTTCAACCACTCAAGAAATAAAATTTTTTATAATAGCCCCAAAGTGAAACAACCCAAATATCCATCAATTGATAAATAAATAAAATATGGTATATCCATACAATGAGTATTATTCAGCAATAAAAAGGAAAGAACTACTGATACATGCTACAACATAAATGAACCTTGAGAACATTACACTCAGCAAAAGAAGCCGGACACAAAAGGCCACATAATCTATAATTTCAATTATATGAAATGTCCGCAATAGGCAAGGACAGAGACAGAACGTAGATCAGTGATTGCCTAGGGCCATGCTGGGAGAGGTAATAGGGAGTGACTGTTAACCAGTACAGAGGTGTCTTTTTGGGGTGATAAAAATGGTCTAAAATTAGATAGTGGTGATGGGGGTACAACTCTGTGAATATACGAAAAGCCATTGGATAGTACAATTTAAACGGGTGACTATTATACATGAATTTTATCTAGTGTAGTTGTTTATCTAGTATAGTTTTTTAAAAAAAAGAAACAAGTTTTTGTTGTGTTCAACCTTTGAGGTTTTAGGGCTAATGTGGTAATATTGCAGCATAATCTGGTCTATCTTAGATAAATACTGCCCCAGGTGCCTGTATGTCCGTAGTCAGCCTTGGCTATACTGAAAATATAGTACTATGGGAGTAGAGATCAGGGGTCAACTAACTCTGCCCGGTGAATGGTGGAAGAAGTAACATCTGAGCTCTGTATCGAATAATAAGCAGAATAGCTCTCTCCTCCTCAGAAATGGATGCATGCATGGATGGATAGATAGATGGACGGATAAGTGGACAGACAGACAGACAGTATGGATAGCTTATGACAGGACACGGACTCATCGAAAGAATATAGCCGAAACTCTACCTAGTTGGACATGGCTAAAGTATGAGATATATATCATCCAAGATAGAAGTGGTGAGGCAAGAAAGGGCTTTATGTTAGGATATTCTTCCATTTCTATGAAGAAATACCTGAGACTGGGTAATTTATAAGAAAAGGGGTTTTATTGGCTCACAATTCTGCAGGCTGTACAGGAAACATGGCAGCTTCCTGCTGGGGAGGCCTCAGGAAGCTTCCAATCATGGTGAAAGGCAAAGGGGGAGCGAGGCGTCTCACATGGTGAAAACAGGAGCAAGAGAAAGAGAGAGTGAGAGGGGAGGTGCCACACGCTTTTAAGTAACCAGATCTTGTGAGAACTCACTATCGTGAAGACAGCACCAAGCCATGAAGGAGCTGCCCCCGCGATCCAAACACCTCCCACCAGGCCCCACCTCCAGCACTGGAGATTACAATTCAACATGAGATATGGATGGGGAACATATCCAAACTATATCAGGCCTTGAATTCCCAGCCGAGGTGCTGGGACTTGATCCAGCCAGAGAAAGCAGTTTTGAGGGATTGTTGTCAGAGAGCTGGAGCAGGAATATGTGTATTTTAGATCATTCTGGCACCAGCATAAAGACCAGATTCATGTAAGTAAAACTCTGGGTCAGGTGGGTAGCTTGAGCCTATCAGTCCGTGCAAACTCCAGCTCCTATCAGCCAGAGAGTCCCTCTGCCTGGTGCTCACTTCCCTCACCTCAGACCTGGTCACCCCTTCTCATCCTTTGCATCTCAGCATCCAAGTCACTTCCTCAGAGAAGCCTGCCCTGGCTCCACAGGCAAGTTAGGGTCCCTCATCTTGTGCTTTTCTAATGTGCTGTCTGTCTAGCCTGCATCTCAACTGTAACTAATCAACCACTAGTGAGATAGCTCATGTGTCATCCGTCTCCCTCACTGGACTGCAGGCTCCTATGAACAGGACTTGTCTTTTTCACTGCTGTACCCTCACTGCTTAGGTGGCATCTGACCCATCATAGCTACTCAGTAAATATTTGATGAATAAAACAAGTGAGTGTGTATGTGAACTGAAAGATGAATCTGCAATGTTAATACCTGGCTGAAAGCTGAACTTTCTTCTCAAGGAAAAGAAAAGCATGAACTAAATTTCCACAGTAGCAGGGAGTGGTAAGAGCACAGACTTCGGAGTCGGGCTGGTTCTGTCATACCTCAGCTGTGTGACCTACAGAAAGTCACTTTCCTCCTCTGAAGTTCAGTTTCTTTCTCCGCAAAATGGAGGCAATAACATTTATCTCATTCAGAGCGTGCACAAAGCAGCTAGCATTGTGTCATTTGATAGTAAATCCTCCAGACGTGACAATAATAACAAAAACAAGAGCTCTATTTTATCATTTAATCCTGACAGTAATCCTTTGAGGCTTATAACTCAGCATTTCTCAAACTTGCCTGATTATAAGAATCACCTCAGGGAACATGGTACAAATACACATCCCCAGCCCCTCACCCTGGCATTCTGATTCAGCAAGACTGGGGTGAGGCCTCATAAATCTATAGTGTATCAGGCATTCCAGGTGACTGCTATGAGCAGGCAGGTTTGGGCACCATTATGACCCCCACTTTATTGATAAGGAGAGTGACGCTCTGACCAGCGCTTCTCGCACACATGTTAACATGCTGGGGAGTCACCTGGGTCTTCGGATCCAGTAGGTCTGTGGGGGGGCCTGAGGTCAAGGATTTCTGACAAGCTCCCAGGTGGTGTTGATGCAGCTAGCCTGAGGCCCACACGGAGCCACAGGGGCTACCCTAGAGAGCCAGCTCACCCATCCTCAGGCACTTGCACATTGGTGGCAGGCAAAAATGCCAATGCCTAGGTCCTATCCCAGAGATTCTGATGTAATTAGGGGCATGGCCTGGGCGGAGGACTTTTTAAAACATCCCCAGGTGATTCTACTATATAGGAAAGTTTGCAAACCACTGGTTTAGGCCAGAATCATGTGGGTCAAATTCATAGAGCCAATAAATGGCCACACTGCCATATGAACCTATGTCTATCCGACCCCATAGCCGAGTATCTTGTGAGAGAGTAAACAAAATGGGACCTGATATTATTACTAGTGTTTTCATTATTGGAGGAAAGAGGGAGACCTCAAAAATAAGGCCAAAAGCCAGGTGCTTACGCTTGTAATCCCAGCACTTTGGGAGGCCGAGGCGGGCAGATCACGAGGTTAAGAGATCGAGACCATCCTGGCCAACAAGATGAAACCCCGTCTCTACTAAAAATACAAGAATTAGCTGGACGTGGTGGTGCGCGCCTGTAGTCCCAGCTACTTGGGAGGCTGAGACAGGAGAATCACTTGAGCCCAGGAGGCAGAGTTTGCAGTAAGCCAAGATCGCACCACTGCACTCCAGCCTGGCGACAGAGCGAGAGTCCATCTCAATAAATAAATAAGTAAATAAATAAGGCCAAAGAACATCAAGCTGGGGTCAGGATCTGGAAGTCACTATCACAAGCTGGGCTGGGCCACCAGTACAAATAGGGTACAGTTGAGGAGAGAGATCCCTGCTCCTTCTCGCAGCTGTAGGCAGACAAAAGCAGGCAAACGTGGGTGTGCGCCACTCCCGTCACTCGCTGGCTCCTCTCCAAATGGCATGAGCAGCTGCCGAGCCCTGCACTCACCTCACACCCACACTCATAGCTTTTTGAAGATAGAGAAAAAAGCCAGGCAGTCCCAGCCCCAAAATGAGAGAGGCACAATTGGACAACCTTGAGAAAGCTACAGCAGCCCCTAACTCAATTTCTTAGCAATTATCCTAGCGCTGTGTCTCCAAGGAATGAAGTCTGTGGCCTGATTCAGTAGAACACCAGACCTCCAGAGACAGACAAACACATTCCAACCACAAAATTCAGTTGGAAGACTCAAAGTGGAGAAGGGATGTCAAAGAAGACTGGCTGTAATTTCAGAAGCCATAACAGGCACCACCTGACACAGATAATAAAAATAAAAGCTATTATGTATCAACGGCCTGCCCTGTGCCAGACTCCATGCACTATCTCATTTAATCCTCATCAGCACCCCGTGAAGTAGGTACTCCTGGCCCCTTGGAATAGGGGAGGGGATTCAAGTTCAAGTTCACAAGTACAAAGATCACACAGCTAGGAAGTGGCAGAGCTGGGGTTTGAACTCAACCCCACCTTTTAAAATACTTTGTATTTTGCTTCTCACTCTGTGTGGCTGAGCCTCATATATCACTGCCTGCCTTGGCCTTTAAACAAAGGAAGAAATATTCTTCCACTGACTGTGGAGTGTAATAATCGTTCCTGCTGAGCCAAGGAGAAACAGAGCCCAGTTGTTTCTCCGTCCCTACATCCATCTCTGCAAGTTCGCGCTCTGCAGCCATGAAAGGGACTGATTTTGAGATGGCTGGAGGGACCCGAAGAGAGAAACTAATGAATATGCTCGGCTTTGAAGGGTGCCAGCACCACAGAGTGAGGTTGCTCTGAGCTGGCTGGAATGTGTTTGTCTGTCTCTGGATGTCTGGTGTCTTTGGTTTTTCATCAGAGCTTTATGCAGTTTTCATTTGCCCTGGGGATCTGGAACAACAATCCCTCTGTTCCAAAGGATTCATGCAGAAACAACTACAGGTGTAGCCATTTAATTGCCTAGCTTTAAAAAAAAAAAAAGGGCCAGGTGACATTTTGAACCAGCCGGCAGGGTTTTGTTCTAAAGAGCAGGACTGTTATTAGCTCTTATTTCATCCCTCCACCCCAGGGCATGGCATGGTTCTGTGTCCTCTACCAAGGTGACTCCCAGGATCCAACATTATCTACATCCCCCATCTGATCTCTGAAGCCTGAAAACCCTTTCAGGGAGGACAAAAGGTTTCATGCCATAATTAGAGATGAGGCTTCAAGGCCAAGAGCCACCACGAAGGCAAGGTGAGGTCTTTCCGGCCCATCAGACAGCAAAGAGCTAGAATTATCAGGAATCCTGAGTCGGTCCTTTAGCAGCTCACAACTAGGAAGGTCGTGGCAAGGGCAACAGTAAGCAAAAAGCTGGGAGAAGTCTTCAGTTTCAGGCTTTTAGCTTGCTAACATATTGGTGAGCCAGGAATATTTTTCCTTTTTTTTTTAAACCTGCAAGCTAATGAGAAAATCTCTTCCCTCAAATTCAAAGCTAATCACAAGCTAGGGACTAACTGGGCACCATTGTGCATTTCGAGCTCTTTGGTTGGCTTGGATTCGTTTTGATTTGGAAACTATTTTGCTAGCAAGCTTACAAATTGTTTGGCTGGGTGCAATGGCTTGTGCCTGTAGTACCAGCTACTCAGGAGGCTGAGGTGGGAGGATCACTTGGGCCCAGGAGTTCTAGGCTGTAGGGCGCTATGGCAATTGGGTGTCCACACTAAGTTTGACATTGATATGGTGACCTCTCAGGAGCAGGGGACCACCAGGTTGCCTAAGGAGGGGTGAACCAGCCCAGGTGGGAAACAGAGCAGGCCAAAACTTCCATGCTGATCTGTAGTGGCATCGCCTTGTGAATAGCCAGTCCACTCCAGCCTGGGCAACATAGCGAGACCCTGTCTCTAAAAGCAAACAAAAAAAACAAATAAGTTGTTTGAGAGATCATCTTGATTTAAAAAAAATCATTTTGGCTACAAAACCCAAACATTAATAATAAAAAACTCTTCTCAGTTCTTTCCCTCCCTTTGTTTCTCACCAGGATTGGGTTGCAAAATGGTCACGTAATAGAAATAATAAGAGCCAACCTTGACAGAGTATTTACCATTTGCCAGGCTCAGTTTCAAGGGTTTTACATGTATTATCTCATTTACTGTTTGCTACAGTTCTATGAAGCAGGTATTATTTACCTCCCCAATTTGCATATTAAGAAACTGAGACACAGATGGTAGGTAGCTTGTCCAAGGACACAGACAAGAAGAAGCCAACTCAGGATTTGAACCCAGGCAGTCCGATTCCAGAGTCCATACTCTCTTTACATTTTAATTGTGAACATTTTATGGAAGAATAACAAACATACAGAAAAATGTACAACTCATAAGTGTACAGTTCAAAGTATTTTCACAAAGTGAATATAACCCAGTACAAAGGCTCATGAGGATCAAGAAAAAGAACAGTATCAGACCCCAGAAGTCCCTCCTGCTCAGTTCCCTAGCTCCTCACCTGGAGAACCATCCTGACTTATTACTTTTTAGAGACATGGTCTCACTGTATCACCCAGGCTGGAATGCAGTGGTGCAATCAGCTCACTGCAGCCTTGAACTACTGGGTTCAAGTCATCTTCCTGCCTTGGCCTCCCAGAGCACTGGGATTACAGGCATGAGCCCTGGCGCTGCCAGTCCTGACTGACCACAGCTCACTTGGCTATTTCTAAACTTTATATAAATCTAATCCTACAATATGAACCCTTTTGTGTCTATCTTCTTTCCTCATAATCTTCATGCGATTCACCCATGCAGTTCCAAGGGGGCAATAATGCACTCATTTTTATTGCTATGTAGTATTTCATTGAATGACTATCCCACAATTTTTCCATTCTACTTTTGGTGGACATTTGGGTTATTTTCTGCTAGGCACCATTTCAAATAGTGCTGTGATTTGTCTTTTCATGCATATATGTGCGCATTTCCATTGGGCATCTATCTGGGAGCAGAATTGCTGGTTCATGTGGTATGTTCAACTTTCATAAATAGTTCCAAACACTTTTCACCAGAAGAATCTAAGGGTTCCAGTTGCTCCACATCTTTGCCAACTCTTAGGTGTCTGCTGTTTTTATTTGAGCCATGCAGGTGGGTGTATAATAATATCATATTGTAGTTTTAACTTCATTCCCCCAAAGACTAGTGAAGTTGAGCCCATTCTCTTGAGGTTATTACCCATTTTGATATCTTCTTTGGTAAAGTTCTTGTTCTATCTTTTGGCTCATTTTCCTGTTGAGTTTCATGCTTTCTGTTGTTGATTTGTAGAAACTCTTTTAGTATTCTGGATGTAAGTCCTTCATTAGACATATGTATTGCAACTATATCCTACTTTGTGGATTTCCTCATCACTCTCTTAATAGATTTTAATAGAACAGAAGTGTTTTTTAACAGCTGTATTGAGATATAATTTATGTACCAATTTACCCACGGAAAATGTACAACTCAGTGGCTTTAGTGTATTCACGGAGTTGTACAATCATCACCACAATCAATTTTAGAATATTTTCATCACTCCAAAAAAGAACCTCCATTCCCACTAGCAGTCACTTTCCATTTTCCCTCCAACCCATCCCTCCCACCCTATGCAATCACTAATCTGCTCACTGTAGCAGTTTTTAAATTTTAATGTAGTCTGATTCATCCATTTTTCCCTTATAGTTTGTACATTGTGTGAGCTATTTAAGAAATATTTGCACACTCCAAGGTCATGAAGATATTCCCCTCAGTTTTCTTATAAAACTATTATTGTTTTACCTCTCACATTGAGATCTACAATCCACTTGGAATTGCCTTTGTGAATATCAAGTTGACTCATCATCATGTACTGAAAGTAAATCAGGTGACTATATATACAAAGGTGTGTTGCTGGCCTCGCTATGCTACTCTGTTGGTCTGCCTATCCTTAGACAAATACCACACTCTCTTAGCTACTATAGCTTTATGTTACATCTTTATTTACATCTTCGTCTGACAGTGGAATTCCACCAGCTTTGTTCTTCTTCAGGCTTGCTTTGGCTATTCTTAGCTCTTTTCCAGGCCTACCAATCTCCACCAAAATATCTGTTGGGATTTTTTTTAAATTGAGATTGCATTAAGATTATGAATAAATTTGGTGAGAATAGTCATCTTTATAATAGATGGTCTTCCAAATGAAATATCTTTCTTGTTTTTTAGATATTCTTTAATTCCTCTAAATAATTTTTGTAGGTTTTTTCTTTTTTATTTTTTTTTAGGTCTTATACATGTTTCATTTGATTTAGTCCTAGAAATTTGATGTCTTTTATACCATTATAAATAGATTTTTTTATTTTTTATTTTTTGGTTTGTTGCCAGTATTGAGAAATCAAAAAATTTCTGTATACTGACCTTGTATCCAGTGACCTTGCTAAATTCACTTATTAATTTAATAGTTTTTGTATATATTCTTTTGGATGGTTTACGTACACAATCATTATACAATATCAACAATTGATGACATATTTGTTGCTTCCTTTCTGATGATGAGGCCTCTTATTAATATTTCTTGCTTTGGAGCTCATTTCTTAACTACTATGCTGCCATCAAAATTGCTATGCAGAACACCAGAGTTCTCTGTAGAGCCCTCTTCCCTCCCAAATCCGACAGTTCTTAGGATCCTACAGCAGGTATTCTTTACACGTGTTCATTATCAAAGGCTTTCTCGCCCAAAGGACAGAAAACCTGACTATAGTGGCATAAACAAATAGAAAATTTCCATTTGTTTGTTGTTGTTTGCTTAGGGAGTTACCTACAGGAGAGTCTACATAAATGGCTGCTGCAGTTCCAGACATCACATCTATATTCAAGGCACAGAGGAGAAGAAAGCGGGCAAGAACCCTAGTTCTTGTCATGTGGTCTCTGCTAATTTCAAGGGATCCCGGAAAAGTGGGATATGGAATTATCCCAATTGACTCAGAGATCCATAATTTGGGCCAGACACAGTGCTTCTTTGCACAAAATGGCAGTTCAGTTAGCAAAGAAGGGAGAGTGGTACTGGGTAGGCAGCTAGCAGGGCCTACGACAACACAACAGGCTTCTGCCTGCTCTCTCTTGCATCCACTGGGTACCCTGTCCCCCCTGAACAAAACCACTTTCTGCTACAGTTGGAGGAGCCTCCAGGTGGTCAATCTGCCCTGCGATGTAGCTGCCAAATTGAACAAATGCTTCTTGTCTCCTTTCACGCTACCCTCTGTTAGAATTGTCACATAGTAGTGCCACTTGTGCCCAAAACATTAAAGATTTTTTTGGTAAAACAGTTCACTTCACAGCTCTCTTCTTTGGTAGGACACCAGTGTCAGGGGCTGAGCCCAGAGTCAAGCAAGAACCTCCACACTGCACACACTGCCCCCATTGAGGACCAGAATTTATGACTGAGTCAAGCTGGCTATGCTAGGTGCCACCTTTCCTCAAGATGACTTCTTGCCCAGTTAGGTACTAGTGCTATAGTGAGCCAGGATTCTGATCTGAAGCCCCACTCAGGCTCAACCTGGGACCCTGGCTACACACATAAGTAAGCCCCAAACTAGGAAACCATTTTGGCTTCAGAGCACTTTAGACCTTGAATGACACAGCAGTTTTGAATTTTTTTAGCTAGCTGGCAAATCAAGAAACCTAGAGTTTAGACCCAATCCTGGCACTCATTGGCTAATTATTGTTAGGAAATTTCATTCCCTTCACTGGGCCTCATGTTCTCTATCTGAAACCATAAAAGACTTGGACCATATGGCCTCTCATGTTCAGCCCACCTCAACTCTTTTTAGAACCCACCCCATGAGAACATGCAAGGGCATTCAGGATTTGTCCCTCAGTATTCGTCAGCTCAGATCCTGAGTATCATAGCAGGAGGTCCTAAGATCACCGCCCACCCCCACCCCCACCCCGCCATCAAAGATGAGGAAACTGAGAAACATAAAGCAACTTGCCCAGGATTTGAACCCAGGTCTGTCTGACTCTGTCTCAGGCTGTAGATCACCATAAGTAACACGTGGCCTCTACCAATACTAGTCCCCACACTTCCTGAGAATGGTGCCTCTGGAGCCAGCTGTGCAAAGCCTCAGCTGCAGAGAAGATGCTCCTGCTTGTGGGTGGAGTGGAAAGAGCTCCCAGGTGAGGGAAGGGCTGTCATCCACCCACCCAGCCATCTGTCTGCAAGATTCCCCTATTCTGCTAAGCACTCATTTTTGCCCTGCCTTTCCCTGTTATGGGCTTCATATTTTATGATTTCAATATAAACAATTTACCAGGAATCGTCATTCCCTAGACCTGTTCGGCCTGCTATAGAAATCTGATTGCTCAAATCTACAGCTGAATCCAATAGAGGAAATACAAATACTCTTACCTGTAAGCATCCAGAACCGAGAAGGAAAGCAGCCCGCCACGTTTGTATCCACGTCACTCATTTGGCGGTGGATCTCAGGGCTGCTACTCAGGAGGCTTATACATAGACCCAAGTCGGTGCATTCTCTTTGCAGGGTCTCCAAGGGAGGCCATGTGCACATTCTAACAGCTGCACCTTGCAACCTTTTTGTGAGAACTTACATCTTATTTGCTGAGCTGCCTCAGTTTTCCCCCAAACACTCAACCTTTGAGAGGACAAATGGCAAAAAACAAGTGGGAGTATTTGGTTTATGGGCCATCCTCTGAGGCAAAGGCAGCCAGGATCCCAAATTGCTGACCTCTCCCCGCGCCATTCACTGCTGCAGGTTCCTGAGGGAGATTTGCAGAAATCCAGGCAATGCCTACCCCTTACTACTTTGTCATCTCCTATTCAAATAAGCTTGGTGGTTTATATTGGAGCAGAAAGAACTCCTTTTACCCCTCTTGCCTAACCTTTCAGCCAGTGTTCCTTAGTCTTTAGTAAAGGGCAATTTTTTTTGATACTTCTATAAAAATACAATAAAAATGAATTACTTGAAAAAAGAAAAAACGACATACAAAGTCAAAGCCGAAATGTTTTATTAGATTCAATAGACATAAAATTACTGTGTCAAACTGCTATAAAAATGTCTAAACCCCTAAAGCCATAAAAACCCTAGAAGAAAACCTAGGCAATACCATTCAGGACATAGGCTTGGTTAAGGACTTCATGTCTAAAACACCAAAAGCAATGGCAACAAAAGCCAAAATTGACAAATGGGATCCAATTAAACTAAAGGGCTTCTGCACAGCAAAAGAAACTATCATCAGAGTGAACAGGCAGCCTACAGAATGTGAGAAAATTTTTGCAATCTGCTTATCTGACAAAGGGCTAATATCCAGAATCTACAAAGAACTCAAACAGATTTACAAGAAAAAAACAAACAACCCCATCAAAAAGTGGGCGAAGGATATGAACAGACACTTCTCAAAAGAAGACATTTATGCAGCCAACAGACACATGAAAAAATGCTCATCATCACTGGCCATCAGAGAAATGCAAATCAAAACCACAATGAGATACCATCTCACACCAGTTTGAATGGCGATCATTAAAAAGTCAGGAAACAACAGGTGCTGAAGAGGATGTGGAGAAATAGGAACACTTTTACACTGGTGGTGGGACTGTAAACTAGTTCAACCATTGTGGAAGACAGTGTGGCAATTCCTCAAGGACCTAGAACTAGAAATACCATTTGACTCAGCCATCCCATTACTAGGTATATACCCAAAGGATTATAAATCATGCTGCTATAAAGACACATGCACACGCATGTTTATTGCGGCACTATTCACAATAGCAAAGACTTGGAACCAACCCAAATGTCCACAATGATAGACTGGATTAAGAAAATGTGGCACATATACACCATGAAATACTATGCAGCCATAAAAAAGATGAGTTCATGTCCTTTGTAGGAAATTGGATGAAGCTGGAAACCATCATTCTCAGCAAACTATCGCAAGGACAAAAAACCAAACACTACATGTTCTCATCATAGGTGGGAATTGAACAATGAGAACACTTGGACACAGAAGGGGAACATCACACACCGGGGCCTGTCGTGGGGTGGGGGGAGGGGGAGGGATAGCATTAGGAGATATACCTAATGCAAATGACAAGTTAATGGGTGCAGCACACCAACATGGCACATGTATACATATGTAACAAACCTGCACGTTGTGCACATGTACCCTAGAACTTAAAGTATAATAAAAAAAAATTTTTTTTAATGTCTAAACCACCTCAATTTCACTTTTTACCTTGTTGCAGGCCAGTTTCAAATAGTTTACTGGCAAGCACTGGTCCACAGCACATGATGAAATAGCACTTTGCCAGGCCACAGAAGGCAAATGTGTGGTATATGTGCATACTACCCCACAACCTATCCCACAACCACAGCAGGCCATGCTAATTGATCAGAACATTTAGTCTTGAATGCGGCCCCAGATTCCTCCTCAGCACATGCCTCCACTCCCAAACTCAGACTAGGCATGCAAATGAAAACTATTATCCCTGGTTCCTTTTGTTCAGCCCCACACTCTAATCTTGGTTCTTCAAACACTGCAGAGCTGCTGTCACGACCATCCACTCTACCCCTCCTTTCTACTCTATCCAATTTGGGTAGAGCCCAAAGGGCTAGAGCCCGTGAGTCAGGGAGGCAGCCCTGGCATTGGGTTCATTGGAGGTAAGAGAGAGAAGTGCAACCCCGAAATTTCAAGGAAGGAAAAGGCCAGTAGAGTTCCCCTCCCCATCTAGTTCTACTTATGATCTCTTTGTACCCCTCTAGCGGTATGGCCTAATTGTGTGCTTTGAATCTTTTAGTAGAGATACCATCTGTAGAGCACCTGCAATGTACTAGGCTTTATTTACAGTGATTATTTTTGCTATCTCAATTCGTCACATAACACCTCTATGAAATAGCCATTTTTATAACCCCATTTCAACAATGGATGAAACTCAAAGAGGGAAAATGACTGCTCAAGCTTATGCAGTCGTGAGTGATAGAGCTTGAATTCAAAAGGAGATCTGTCACGTTTCCAAAGTCTGTCCTTTGACACATCTCAAAAGAAGACATACACGCGGCCAACAAACATATGAAAAAAATGCTCAACATTATTAATCATTAGAGAAACGCAAATCAAAACCATAATGAGATGCCATCTCACACCAGTCACAATGGCCATTGTTAAAAAGTCAGAAAATAACGGATGTTGGCAAGGTTGCAGAGCAAAGGGAATGCTTATATGCTGTTGGAGGGAATGTAAATTAGTTCAGCCACTGTGGAAAGCAATTTGGAGATTTCTCAAAGAACTTAATACAGAACTATTAATCAACCCAGCAGTTCCATTACTGGGTATATATCCAAAGGAATATAAATCGTTCTACCAAAAAGACACATGCACTCATGTTGATTGCAACACTATTCACAATAGCAATGACATAGAATCAACCTAGATGCCCATCAACAGTGGACTGGATAAAGAAAATGTGGTACATATAGACCATAGAATACTACATGGCCATAAAAAAGAACAAAATCCTGTCCTTTGCAGCAACATGGATGCAGCTAGAGGCAATTATCCTAAGCAAATTAATGCAGGAAAAGAAAACCAAATACCACATGTTCTCACTTCCAAGTGGAGCTAAACATTGAGTACGGATAGACACAAACAAGGGAATCATAGACACTGGAGCTTACTTGAGAGTAGAGGGTGGGAGGAGGGTGAGAATCAAAAAGCTACCTAGTGAGCACTATGCTCACTACCTGGGTGATGAAATTATTTGTGCTCCAAACCCCAGTGACACACAATTTACCCATGCAAAAAACCTGCATGTATATCCCCTAAGCCTAAAATAAAAGTTGAAAAAGAAGAAACAAAGAGGCCAGGCACAGTGGCTCACGCCTGTAATCCCAACACTTTGGGAGGTCGAGGCGGGCAGATCACCTGAGGTCAGGAGCTCGAGACCAGCCTGACCAACATGGAGAAACCCCCGTCTCTACTGAAAATACAAATTAGCTGGGCATGGTGGTGTGTGCCTGTAGTCCCAGCAACTTGGGAGGCTGAGGCAGGAGAATCACTTGAACCTGGAAGGCAGAGGTTGCAGTGAACCGAGATCACATCATTGCACTCCAGACTGAGCAACAAGAGTGAAACTCCGTCTCTAAATAAATAAATAAAAATAAAAAAGAAAGAATATTTGTATTGGCTTTTTCCAAATTCTCGTATTCATAGTCAACTTAGAGTTGTAACTGATGAATGAGTAGTTCCAACATAAATGGTGGGTTTTTTTAAAATTAATGAATAATATGAAAATAAAACAACAAAGATAGTTTTTTTGTGGGGAAAAACAAACCCAGTCTGTCCTTTAATCCACTTTATCATCTCTCACCTCCATCCAGACCCAACTTTGGAATTGGGAAGACAAGCTTAAGCTCCCTCTAGAGGTGACACTGTGCAATCCAGTCTTCTTCAAACGGTACCGCGGTACCAGGCAAAGGAGGCAGCACTTCCCTTCCCCATGGCTAAATGGCAGTGAAGGGCAGACCAGAGTTCAGCCCTAAGTCTTTGCCTTAAGATCACACGTTAATGTGCACTGAGGAATTATAATGTCCATTCCCACAGTCCCTGAGTGTTGCTAAGGCATTTCATTGCCAGTATGTATTTGCCTCTCTAGGTCTTGGAATCTTGACATTTTAAGGTAGTAGGCTACAGAATGAACCCAAAATAACTGATGGAATGAGTTACTATTTTATCAAAAGCATTGGCTGGAGAATTCACCCAACTGGCCTTAGCAATCTGGCCTCCTAGACAACTGCAGAAATAAATAAAACCAAATAAGAAAATGAGAATAACAACTGCTACTATTTACTGAGCTGCATATGCTAAGCACCATGATAAACAGTATACATATATACCTAAAATCCTAAATATATATACCTAAAATCCTAAATATATATACCGAAAATCCTAAATATATATACCGAAAATCCTAAATATATATACCGAAAATCCTAAATATATACAGAAAATCCTATATATATACCGAAAATCCTAAATATATATACCGAAAATCCTAAGTATATATACCGAAAATCCTAAATATATACCGAAAATCCTAAATATATATACCGAGAATCCTAAATATATATACCGAAAATCCTAAATAGATACCGAAAATCCTAAATAGATACCGAAAATCCTAAATATAGATACCGAAAATCCTAAATATAGATACCGAAAATCCTAAATATAGATACGAAAGTCTAAGTATAGATACCGAAAGTCCTAAATATAGATACCGGAGATCCTAAATATAGATACCGAAAATCCTAAATATAGATACCGAAAGTCCTAAATATAGATACCGAAAGTTCTAAATATAGATACCGAAAATCCTAAACATATATACCGAAAATCCTAAACATATATACCGAAAATCCTAAACATATATACCGAAAATCCTAAACATATATACCGAAAATCCTAAATATATATACCGAAAGTCCTAAATATATACCGAAAGTCCTAAATATATATACCGAAAGTCCTAAATATATATACCGAAAGTCCTAAATATATATACCGAAAGTCCTAAATACATATACCGAAAGTCCTAAATACATATACCGAAAGTCCTAAATATATATACCGAAAGTCCTAAATATATATACCGAAAGTCCTAAATATATATACCGAAAGTCCTAAATATATATACCGAAAGTCCTAAATATATATACCGAAAGTCCTAAATATATATACTGAAAGTCCTAAATATATACCGAAAGTCCTAAATATATATACCGAAAGTCCTAAATATATATACCGAAAGTCCTAAATATATATACCGAAAATCCTAAATATATATACCGAAAATCCTAAATATATACCGAAAATCCTAAATATATATACCGAAAGTCCTAAATATATATACCGAAAATCCTAAATATATATACCGAAAATCCTAAATATATATACCGAAAATCCTAAATATATATACCGAAAATCCTAAATATATATACCGAAAATCCTAAATATATATACCGAAAATCCTAAATATATACCGAAAATCCTAAATATATATACCGAAAATCCTAAATATATATACCGAAAATCCTAAATATATACCGAAAATCCTAAATATATATACCGAAAATCCTAAATATATATACCGAAAATCCTAAATATATACCGAAAATCCTAAATATATACACCGAAAATCCTAAATATATACACCGAAAATCCTAAATATATACACCGAAAATCCTAAATATATACACCGAAAATCCTAAATATATACACCGAAAATCCTAAATATATACACCGAAAATCCTAAATATATACACCGAAAATCCTAAATATATACACCGAAAATCCTAAATATATACACCGAAAATCCTAAATATATATACCGAAAATCCTAAATATATATACCTAAAATCCTAAATATATACCGAAAATCCAAACACCATTCCTTTGCATTTCTTTAGTGAAAAGAAAATTTTCATTCTTTGAGAGAGTGATTTTTCACAAGACCCCGAAGTCATTTTGGTATAGAGGCAGATGAGAAAGGTGGGCTATCCATAGCTGTGTTTATGTAAAATGAAATGATGACAACGGAATAAGGAGAGCAATTTCCTGTGTGCCTCAGCAACTAGCTCTTCAGACTGCTAAAGAGGGGGCTCTGGTGATTTTGAACAATGGCAACCCTCCAAAAGGATATTTGTAGTTAAGGTGATTTTTTTCTTTTCCAAAAAAGCAGCTCTTGTTTGTTTTCTGAATTGCAAAGACCATTTATCTTTACTGTAGAAAGTAGAAAACAGAAAAGATAAAAAAAAAACAAGAACATGAATTATTTGCAATGTGATTGTTTTTGTTGTTTCCAGTTTTGTTGCTATTAAAATTATGCTGCAATGAATATTTTGTATTTAGATATTTTTTGTATACCTCTGATTATTTGCTAATACAAATTTTGAGAAATAGAATTTCTGGGTCAAAAAGTATGTATATCTTAAAAACTTTAAAACTTCATTGCAGGCCAGTTGCAGTGGCTCATGCTTGTAACCCCTGCACTTTGGGAGGCTGAGGTGGGTGGATCGCTTGAGCCCAGAGTTCAAGACCAGCCTGAGCAACATGGCGAAACCCCATCTCTACTAAGACTACAAAAAATTAGCTGGGTGTGATGGCACATGCCTGTAGTCCCAGCTACCTGGGAGGCTTAGGTGGGAGGATCACCTTACCCTGGCAGGTGGAGGCTGCAGTGAGCTGTGATGGTGCCCCTGAGCTGTAGCCTGGGAGACAGAGTGAAAAAAAAAAAAATTCATTGCCATTGGAGGTAAAATATGCCCAGAAAAAAAATTCTTTGCCAAGTTAGTAAGTGAAAAATGTTATTTTAAGGTGAATGTTTTGATTATTAATAAGATGAAACTTTTTTTTTTTTTTTTGAGATGGAATCTCACTCTGTTGCCCAGGCTGGAGTGCAGTGGCAAGATCTCCACTCACTGTAACCTCCACCTCTCCGACTCAAGCGATTCTCCAAACTTAGCCTCTGGAGTAGCTGGGATTACCGGCGCCCACCACCATGCCCAGTTAATTTTTGTATTTTTAGTAGAGATGGGGTTTTACCATATTGGCCAGGCTGGTCTCGAACTCCTGACCTCAAGTGATCCATCTGCCTTGGCTTCCCAAAGTGCTGAGATTACAGGTGTGAGCCACCACACCCCACCAGATGGAACTTTTTAATATACTTATTTGTTTTTTGTATTTATTCTTTTATGGGTTGCCTGTTCATGACTTTTGCTTATTTTCATATTGAAGTATTTATCTTTTAAATGTTTGTGTGAGGACTGCTTATGTACTAAAGAAACCTAACCTTTGTATGTTATATATTTTGCCTTCTCTCATTTGTCATTTGCTTTTCAATCTTTAATGGTTTTTTAAATTATATTTTTTTACTTTCATTGTAGTTGGATATATAAATCTCTTTCTCTACAGATCTGTCTTTGCTTGTATACTTTTAAAGGCCTTTCTCACACGGAGATCAATATTCACTAAGGCAACTGCTTTGCAGAGAGCAACATGTTTTTGGATATGTTGTATGAACACTGGTGTATTGCTTTTAAAGGCTCAGTGCTTTATAGCCACACTTTTACATTTATTCACTTAATCCTTTTTTTTTTTCAGCCAACATCTGATGAGTACCCCTATTTGCCAGGCTCTATGCCAATAGCTGAGGGTGCCAAGATGAATATTTTAAGAGCTCATAGATCAACCTGACCCTGTTTCATTTTGGCCAAGGCCAAACTTGGCCACCCAGGAAGTCACAGGAAGAGGGAGGATGTGGTGTAGCTCTCCTTCTTCATCTCCTCTCATTGGCTTTAGTCCGTCCCATAGTGTGGGTGCTTCCTGGGGTTCTATTCCAGGTCTTTTCTTCCTCTGACTTCTCACAAGGTCCCTGGGTGATCATCTCCAGTAACTGTGGGTATATGTGGACCCCCATATCACCCTCTGAGCATCAGAGCTATATAAGCTACCGTCATCTCCACCTGTGGGTCCCCAGGCACCTCAAACTCAACACATCCCAAATAGAGCTCATCGCTGTACCCACAAGCCTCACCTCCCTAGTTCAGCTCCGTAAACAGGCCCACTGTATATCCAACGATCAGCCAGCAACCTGAGGGTCACCCTTCGTCCTGGCCTTTCTATCCCCTGTAGCATTTAACCCATCACCAAACCTTGACGATTCTACTGTTCTAATATAGTTCATCTCCAGCCCCTTCTTTCCACACCAACTGCCACGACCTTACTCTGAGCCACTCTCATCTTGCACCTGTGTTATTGTCCCAGCCTCCTGACTAAACTCCATGCTTTCTGTCTAGTCCCTTTGCCAACCCATCTTCCGCAGAGCTGGCTAAGCGATCTTTCTAAAGAGTGGCTCTGACCATGTCACATCCCTCAAGACCCTTCAATGTGTCTTCACTGGCCTCAGGATAAAGTCCACGCTCCTCAGCCTGCAAGACCCTTTATGATGGGACCCCTGCCGACTTATCTAGACTCATCTGTCTTAGTCCTCACTTGCCTTCCTTCCTCACTCCAACCACATGACTGCTCGCAGATCCCTTGTTCTTGCCCCCAGGGCTTTTCAAATGCTATTTTCTCTGCCTGGAACTCCCCCCACCAACCCCCACATATTCACCTGGCTAACTCCTATTTATCCACAAGGCTCAGCTTAGGTATCGCTTCCTCGGGGAAGCCTTATCTGAAATCCACCCTCACATCCAAGAGCTTGAACAATCTCCCTTTTTACTTAACTTAAATAGTGTACCATAATTGCATGTTTACCTGCCTTGTCTTCCTCTCTAGACTGTGGCATAGCTGCATGGGTTATACATGCACAACTCACAAGAGCTGTAAAGGGTGGCCCCTGGAGTTATCCAGTGTACACCCTACACAACTACACGTGGAAGCCCTAACTGTGACCCCTTTGAAGAGCAGGAGGACTATATCTTGTTCACTCTTGTATAACATATGTGCTCAGAAAACATTTGTTAAATACATGGATGGATGGATACAGAACTTTCTCCTTGGTCTCCATGTCTTCCGGCCAACAAGAGTGCACACCCTTCATTATCCCTGTCATCTCCGATCTGCTCATCTCTAATCAATTCACCGCCTCCCCTATCTTCCAAGCAAATGCCTTATGTCTGGGGCTTAATCTTTTTTTTTTTTTTTTTTTTTTTTGAGACAGAGTTTCACTTTCACTCTTGTTGCCCAGGCTGGAGTGAAATGGCACGATTTCGACTCACCGCAACCTCCGCCTTCTGGGTTCAAGCGATTCCCCTGCCTCAGCCTCCCGAGTAGCTGGGATTACAGGCATGTGCCACCACGCCCAGCTAATTTTGTATTTTTAGTAGAGATGGGGTTTCTCCATGTTGGTCAGGCTGGTCTCGAACTCCCCACCTCAGGTGATCCGCACACCTTGGCCTCCCAAAGTGCTGGGGTTACAGGTGTGAGCCACTGCACCCAACCGGGAGTGAGTCTTTATATTGCTTAAAATCAAGACTCATTTCCCTTTAACTGCTGCGCCAACTCCTAAGAGTCCCCTGAAGATTTGATCAGGAACGACTGATCACCTAGGATGATACAAATTTTCATCTTTGACATCATGAAAAGTTGACCAGACTCTACTGTGTTTCCCAGGGCACAGAAGATTTGAAGAGAAAATAGCTTAAATTTCCTTTCTTTCCCCTCATCCCCTTTTGAACACTATTTAAAGAGAAAATTGCCTTTGGAAAATTACAGAGATTTTTTTCTCTGCATCCTAAACAGGAAAAAAAAAACTTTACAAGAATAATAGCCAAGAGTCTGTGCCTAGCAAACATTTGAAGATACACTGTACAGATATGCCAAGTGAAAGAAGCCAGATTCAAAAGGCCAAATATCATTTTATGATATGATATTGGCCTTTGATTTATATGACATTTTTAAAAAGGCAAAACTATAAGATCAGAAAACAGATAATAAGTTGCCAGGGGTTGAGGGGTTGGGAAATTTGGGGGAAAGACAGAACTGTTCTACATCTTGATTGTGGTGGTAGGTACACAATTGCATACATTTGTCAAAACTTGTAGAACTATGCACTAAATAGGATGTGCTTTACTACATGTAAATTATACTTTAATTTGAAAAATGAGAAGGTCGTACTATGAAGAAGTCATTAACAATGTAAATGGGAAGCATGCAGAAGGTAACGCATGACAAATCCAGTTCTGTTTGTTTCTTTTTGTTTTATACCTCTGGAAATCCACTGAAAAATGTCAGTTTTTCCTTGCTTTTTTGACTGTTCTCTCTTTATCCTTCCTTTCTCTCAAACTAAAACAGACTTGGATGTTGAACTTGCTTTGCCAATTCCCAGCTGAATCCTGGACAAATCACTCAACCTCACTGAGTCTCAGTTTCCGGGTTTCCTTATCTGTAGACTGGGGATAATGATACTCATCTCTCAGAAATGCGTGAATGCTAAAAAAGATAACGTAAGTAAAGGAAGGCACAGTGTCCTGGGAGAAGCTGTAGTGTTTGCATAGTGCCATTTCATTCAGCCAGCCACCCAGCCATTCTCTACTGATCACATAGGGATTCACAGTGACCAACTCACTGTGTTAAATGTCTACTGGTACCATGGCAAACACTTTTATTTAAAGTTTCTTATTCAATCTTCCCAACCCCATGAAGAAACTAAAATTCAAAAATATCAGGCCAAGCATAGTGGTTCATGCCTGTTATCCTAGCACTTTAGGAGGCCAAAGGGAGAGGATCACTCGAGCCCAGCAGTTCAGGGCCAGCCTGGGCAATGTAGAAAGACCCCATCTCTACAAAAAATAATTTCTAAATATTAGCCAGGCATGGTGGCACATGCTTGTAGTCCCAGCTACTTGGGAGGGCTGAAGTGGAAGGATCACTTGTGCTGGGTAAAGGCTGTAGTGAGCCATGATCATGCCACTGCACTCCAGCCTGGGCAACAGAATGAGACCCTGTCTGGAAAAAAAAAAAAAGCAAACAAAAAACAAAAAACGAAATATCAGGTTGCACAGCCAGGAAAAGGAGTCAACAAGATGCAAAATTTTCTCAGTCCATCCACTCCTTCCTCAGGTGTCGGAAACCGTCTTTCCAGTGTCATCCCCTTTGGCCCTCATAACAATCCTACGAGGCATGAAGTCTTATTCCTATTTTAGAGTTACAGAAACTGAGGGATTGTCCCTTGCCCAATGACACACAAAGCTAGTGACTTACTTGTACAGCTCCAGTCGAGTGTAGTCACTGCTAGCTGGTCCAGGTCAAGATGCCAAGCATGGCATGTACCCTCTTTTGCCAACGCAAAATCTGGGCTGTGCGTGATGTACAGGAGCACACAGGATGTCAGCGCACATAAGAGGAGGTTCTATCACTGCGCTGAGGGGTAGAGGCAGCTGGAGTTTAAAAGCATCCTGATGCCGAGGCAGTGGGATCGCTTGAGGCCGGGAGTTCAAGACCAGTCTGGTCAACATGGTGAGACCCCACTTCTACAAAATATTAAAAAACTAGCCAGACATGGTGGCGCACCCCTGTAGTCCCAGCTATTCAGGAGGCTGAGGCAGGAAGATCACTTGAGCACAGGAGTTTGAGGCTGTAGTGAGCTATGATCACACCACTGCATTCTACCCTGGACCACAGAGAGAGACCCTCTCTCTCAAAGAAAAAAAATTAAAAAAAATTTAAAAAAGCCTCCTGACAGGTAAAGAATCTTCATACCCATGTAGGTTTCTCTAGTGTTTGGAGTGTGACTTTGAACCTGCTACTTCCACCTTCTGAGCCTCGGTGTTTCTTACACATGCCTGTAGGAGCTGAGGTGGGTATTTAATGAGATATGCATGCAAAAGCACCTAGCGCAAGGATGGGCCATAGTAGATGCTCAATAAAATGTAACCTTTATCTCCCCTCCCTTTCATAGCACTTACTTTCCTAAGGCTCAGTCCACCTGTGAGCAGGTAGTCATATTTACAGCCCCCATTATGTGCAAAGGGACGCTCCAATCAACAACACCTGTTGAGGTGACTGGACTAAATCTTACACCTGTCTGTGTTCAAGTCAGAGGCTGGGGAGAATAATTCTAAAGAGAAAAGTTTACAGTGTTACATGAGAAGCTTGGGCGCTCAGATCAAGACCCCACCTCCATCTCAGAAGGATTGGAAGTGTCCCTGAATATAGAAAGAGGAGTGGTTAGGTGTAGTTAGTTACCCTGTGCCCTGGACCGTGTTGCTGGATAGGCACTGAGCCGTCGGAGAGCATAGATAAGCATTGCTCCTGAAGGACTTTGCTGGGTGCTGTTGGAGGAAGTCCTCACTGCTCACCAGCAAGAGGAGACAGCACAGCCCTTAAAATGGAGGCTAGGAAGCCCCCAGACATGGACTCCTTTCCCAAATGCTCCCTGTTGCAGGTGGGGACGGTATTAACACAGGTAGAAGCTGGCTGGTGTGCAGAAGCTAGCTCAGCTCCAGTCCAGGTGATCCCTTTAGATCCAAACCCACAAACTCTCCACCTCCTCATGCCGTCTCTGTCTGTCTCCTCCACTCTAGTGCAAAGAATCATTTTGTAGTTCTAAGGACAAGCAGATTTTATCTGAGTCCTCAAATTTTTCTCCCAAATATATTAAATATGCCCTGAGTTCTATTCATTCCCTTGGAAGCCCAGGCTTAAGAAACTCAAAGCCAGAAGCAGCGCCCTTTCCGCTGCCAACACATCCCTTTTCTAGGATAATTTGTCTCAGAATAATCTAGCAAAGTGGTTATCAAAGCATGGTTCCTGGACTAGCAGCAACTGTGTCACCCGGGAATTTGTTACAAATGCAAATGAGACTCAGCAATGTATTTTAACCAGCCCTCCAGGGTTACTTAAAACTACTACTCAGCTGATGACTGAGTGGTGAAGGGGGATGGGTTGAGAAAGGTTCAAGGAGGAATGGAAAATACCAAGAGTAGGGCTGGGCACAGTGGCTCATGCCTGTAATCCCAGCAATTTGGGAGGCTGAGGCCGGTGGGTGGCTTGAGCCCAGCAGTTCGAAACCAGCCTGTGCAACATAGTGGAACCCCCATCTCTCCTAAAAATACAAAAAATTAGCCAGGGCCAGGCACGGTGGCTCATGCCTGTAATCCCAGCACTTTGGGAGGCTGAGGCGGGTAAATCATATGAGGCCAGGAGTTCGAAACCAGCCTGGCCAACATGGTGAAACATCATCTCTACCAAAAATACAAAAATTAGCCAAGCATGTTGGCTCAAGCTTGTAATTCCAACTACCTGGCAGGCTGAGACACAAGAATTGCTTGAACCCAGGAGGTGGAGGTTGCATGAGCCGAGATCACATCACTGCACTCCAGCCTGGGCGACAGACCGAGACTCTGTCTCAATGAAAAATAAAAATAAAAAATTAGCCAGGCATGGCAGTGTGCATCTGTAGTCCCAGCTACTCAGGAGGCTGAGGTGGGAGGATCACTTGAACCTGGGAGGTTGAGGCTGTAGTAAGCTGAGATCACGCCACTGCACTCCAGCCTGGGTGACAGGGTGAGATCCTGTCTCAAAAAAAAAAAAAAAAAAAAAAACAACAACAAAGAAAAAAATGCAAAGGGTAACAAAAATAGTTATTTTAAATAAATTTTCCTGTTGTAAGAGCAACTCATAGTTTAATATATTCTATGAGCAAGCATATGTGACTGCTTGCTATGTACCATGTATTAAACCAAGTGCTTGACCTGCAATGGTCAAGAAACTCTCATAATCCCCACGTTCCAGGTGAGGAAACTCAGGGTTTCTGGAGAGAGGATTAGGAATTTGCCTTTGGTTACACAGAAAGCCGTGGTGTTAACATTGGAATCTCATAAACCTGATTCAAGAGTTCCATTTTAGCACTGGCTTTTAAAAAATCAAGTTACATGGCCAAGCCCTGTGGCTCACGCCTGTAATGCCAGCACTTTGGGAGGCTGAGGCAGGTGGATCACCTGAGGTCAGGAGTTCGAGACCATCCTGGGTAACATAGAGACCCCAGTCTCTACAAAAAAGTAAAAAAATTAGCCAGATGTGGTGGTGTGCACCTATAGTCCCAGCTACTCAGGGGGCTAAGGCGGGAGGATGGCTTGAGGCTGGGAGGTTGAAGCTGCAGTGAGCCATGATCACACCACTGCACTCCAGCCTGAGCAACGCAGCAAGACCCTGTCTCAAAAATAAATAAATAAATGTAAATAATTTAAAAATTGAAAACATAAAAATAAATAAAACATCAAGTTACAAAACAGTCAATCTTATGGAAAGTAACTGATAGAGTTTGGATGTTCCCTGCAAATCTCATGTTGAGATGTAATTCCCAGTGATGGAGGTGGGACCTGGTGGGAGGCGTTTGGGTCATGAGGGCGGGTCCCTCACGGCTTGGTACTGTCCTCGTGATAGAGAGAGTTCTCACAAGATCTGATTACTGAAAGTATGTGGCACCTTGCTCGCCCTCTCTGGCTCCTGCTCTGGTCATGGAAACTGCCTGCTCCCCCTTCACCTTCTGCCACGAGTAAAATCTCCCTGAGGCCTCCCGAGAAGCTGAGCGGATTCCAGTGCCATGCTTCCTGTACAGCCTCCAGAACTCTGAGCCGATTAAACCTCTTTTCTTTATAAATGACCCAGCCTCAGGTATTTCTTTATAGCAACACAACAACAGACTAATGCAGTAGCCTTGCAGGTGACTTTTATTTTCTTCTTCATATTTTTCTTCATTTTCTGAATCTCTCCACGAACATATGTTACTTTTTAATTAGAAAAAAATTGCTATTTTTTAGAAAGCCAATCTGTACATTATGGTTCCATATTGGTAAAATAAAATCCATAAAACATGTAATTGTATACAAATAAATATATTTTTACATAAATATATTTGATCTATCAATAGTCATTTATTCACAAGAAAAAGACTAGAAGGCTCAGCGTCAAAATGTGAGCCATGATTATCTCTGTGTGGTAGGGCTGTAAATGATTGTGATTCTCTTCTATTTGCTGTTCAGTATTCTCGCTAATAAACATGCATTAGAAAAAAATTAGTAACCTAAGGCTTTCTGACTCCAACATGAGAATTCTCTCATAACAAACTATCAGTGCTTTTTTAGAAGCCCCTTTTTTCCAGTTTTTTTTTTTTAATAATCCAGTCTTTTTTTTTTTTTTTTTTGGTCATACGTTGTGACTAACCATTTATCCTATGCCATATCACCCAAGAAGGAGTCAAACCTTCTAACAAGGGACCTCCTGCAAAGCTGCCAGATGATATCTCTGGTTCAGATTTTGCCTGCAATCATGTTTTTCTAAATAAAGACTACAAACACATTCTGCCTTTCACTAGGTAACAGATGAGCTCTCGCTAATTGCAATCCTCTCTTCTCTGAGTTGGCTACATGTACACGAGAGGCAATGTTCCCTTCCTGGCTTTTTATTTATTTATTTACTTACTTACTTATTTACTTATTTGCAGGTGACAAGGTTACATTTGAGGCTTTTTTTTTATACTTTAAGTTCTAGGGTACATGTGCACAATGTGCATGTTTGTTACATATGTATACATGTGCCATGTTGGTGTGCTGCCCCCATTAACTCGTCATTTAGCATTAGGTATATCTCCTAATGCTATCCCTCCCCCCTCCCCCCACCCCACAACAGGCCCCGGTGTGTGATGGTCCCCATCCTGTGTCCAGGTGTTCTCATTGTTCAATTCCTACCTATGAGTGAGAACATGCGGTGTTTGGTTTTTTGTCCTTGTGATAGTTTGCTCAGAATGATGGGTTCCAGCTTCATCCATGTCCCTACAAAGGACATGAACTCATCATTTTTTATGGCTGCGTAGTATTCCATGGTGTATATGTGCCATATTTTCTTAATCCAGTCTATCATTGTTGGACATTTGGGTTGGTTCCAAGTCTTTGCTATCGTGAGTAGTGCCACAATAAACATACGTGTGCATGTGTCTTTATAGCAGCATGATTTATATTTCTTTGGGTATATACCCAGTAATGGGATGGCTGGGTCAAATGGTATTCCTAGTTCTAGATCCCTGAGGAATCACCACACTGTCTTCCACAAGGGTTGAACTAGTTTACAGTCCCACCACCAGTGTAAAATTGTTCCTATTTCTCCACATCCTCTTCAGCACCTGTTGTTTCCTGACTTTTTAATGATTGCCATTCTAACTGCTGTAAGATGCTATCTCATTGTGGTTTTGATTTGCATTTCTGTGATGGTCCTGGCTTCTTCTTAAAGGATTATAGGGTCACATAGACTAGGCTTAAATTCTGGCTATTTTCATTTATTGTATTATTTTTTTTTTTCGAGATAGGGTCTTGCTCTGTTGCCCAGGCTGGAATACAGTAGCACAATCACGGCTCACTGCAGCCTTGACTGCAGTCAAGGCTGAAGCCATCCTCCCACCTTAGCCTCTTGAGTAGCTGGGACCATAGGCGCACACCACCACACCCAGATAATTTTTGTATTTTGTGTAGAGATGGGGTCTCACTATGTTGCCCAGGCTGGTCTTGAACTCCTGAGCTCAAGCACTCCACCCACCTTGGCCTCCCAAAGTGCTGGGACTACAAGGGTGAGCCACTATAACTGGCTTCCATTTCTTACTAACGCTGTTGACTTTAGGCAAAATGTTTCATTCCTCTGAGCTTTAGTTTCCTCCTTTCTAAAATTAGAAAAAGTAATGAAGGGCTTTTAGGGTTGTTCTAACTTAACCAACAAGAAATTTCCTAAAGTGCCTGGCCCGTAGTTGCTCTCCATCTTAGTTCTTTCTTTCTTAAAGATTTATAACAGGGCAGGGTGCGGTGGCTCACGCATGTAATCCCAACACTTTGGGAGGCTGAGGCAGGCGGATCACAAGGTCAGGAGTTTGAGACCAGCCTGGCCAATATGGTGAAACTCTGTCTCTACTAAAAACACAAAAATTAGCCGGGCATGGTAGTGCGCACCTGTAGTCCCAGCTACTCGAGAGGCTGAGGCAGAAGAATCGCTTGAACCCGGGAGGGGGAGGTTGCACTGAAGCAAGATCGTGCCATTGCACTCCAGCCTGGGTGACAAACCGAGACTCCATCTCAAAAAAAAGAAAGCAATGGGATTGGGGGGAGTGTCAGTTTTCTAAGGTTGCTCTAACAAAGTACCATAAACTTGGCAGCTTAAAGAAATGGAAATACATTCTGGAGGCCAGAAGTCCAAGGTCAAGGTGTCAGCAGGTTTAGTTCCTTTGGGTGCTCTGAAGGGGAATCTGTTCTATGCCTCTCCTCATGGCTGCTGGCAACCCTTGGGACTTCAATCTCCAGTCTCTGCCTCTGTCTTCCTGTCTTATCTCTGTGTCTCTCTCTCAAATCTCTCTCCCCTTTCTCTTATAATGACACCAATAATTGGATTCAGGGCATACTCTAATCCAGGATGAACTTGAGTTCCTTAGCTTAATTACATCTGCAAAGACCCCTTTTCCAAGTAAGGTCACATTCTGAGGCTTTGGGTAGACATCTCTTGGGGCGCCACCATTCAGCCCACTACAGATGGTTACTGCGTAATGCCATTGACGCCTTAGGGAAAGATCATGAAAAGCTGCTGGATCAATAGGCAATTAAAGCCCACAAACAAAGCCAAAGAACCTCCCAAAAATACAAAAGAGGCTCTCATCAACTTGGCAGGAGGCAGGGAGCCTAGGACCAGACCCAGACGTCACAGTCAGAGTGGCCAAGCTCCAGAGAAGATTAAGTCTTCAATCAAGCTAGATCTGAATGCCAAGGTCAGGTCCCGGTTAAAAAATGGGTCCCTGACACAGGACGGGGATATGCTGTCCAGAACTCCCGAAGAAGCCCTGAATCAGCAGAAGTAGCCCAGCCCTCCTTATTAAGAACCAACACTCCCCTTCTTGCTTGAAAATAATGGAGATGGCCAGGCACAGTGGCTCACGCCTATAATCCCAGCACTTTGGGAGGCTGAGGCAGGCGGATCAAAAGATCAGGAGTTCGAGACCAGCCTCGCCAACACGGTGAAACCCTCTCTACTAAAAATACAAAATTAGCCGGGTGTGGTGGCACATGCCTGTAATCCCAGCTACTCAGGAGGCTGAGGCAGGAGAATCGCTTGAACCCAGGAGGCAAAGATTGCAGTGAGCCGAGATCACGCTACTGCACTCCAGCCTGGGTAACAAAAGTGAAACTCTGTCTCAAAAAAAAAAAAAAGTACAAAAGAAAATAATAGAGAGACTTCTCCCCAAGACAACAGATGCTGTCCTCAGGATCTGTCCCCACCTCCTCTACTGGCCACTAGGCCTCTAACTAGGTGAAATGCTGGGCCTAGGCAGGAAGAAAAGGGACTGTACCGCCAAAGACTCTAAGACCTGGAGAGCATGTGTCTGCAGGAGCCGGGGACACAGTAGGACTGGATTCGGAGGATGCTTGATCAAGGGAGCTTATGACCAAGAACATAAGATTGCACTCGGGAGAGCTGATTGATTTCTGAGCACACTCCCAAGACACAGGAGTTAACACCCTGGCAAAGAACACCAGGAGATGGTGCAAAGTCTACCCTAGGGTGGTTCCTAAAAGCATGGGAAAAGTGGTGGCCCATGCTAGGTGAAGCTGCAACTGCCACTGAAGATCATAGAGGAAGTGACTGAAACGCTCTAAGAGGTGGAACTATATTAGCCAGGGTTCTCCAGAGAAACAGAACCAATAGGATGTGTGGGTGTGTTTGTGTTTGAGAATATGTATATGGAGAGACAGAGATCGACTAATTATACAGAATTGGCTTATGTGACCACGGTAGCTGTCAAGTCCTAAGATCCGCAGTCGGCAAGCTGGAGACCCAGGAGGGCCAATGGTGTCGTGGAATCCGAAAGCCAGCAGGCTTGAGACCCAGGAAGGGTCAATATTTCAGTTTGACTCCAAAGGTGGGACAAAAAGATCCACCAGAGGATTATGTTCCATGGGACAGCCTGGAAGATACACCGTCTGCTAAGGCCATAAAGAATGGGATAGTAAGAGGGGCATTGGCATCACTAAAAATTCAGCGATGGCTCTCCTCTGTAGCAGGGACTGACAGGAGGAAGAGGCCAGCAAGAACTAGGCTCAGGCCAGGCATGGTGGCTCATGTGTATAATCCCAGTGCTTTGGGAGGCCGAGGTGGGCAGATCATTTGAGGTCAGGAGTTTGAGACTAGCCTGGCCAACATGGTGAAATCTTGTCTCTACTAAAAATAAAAAAATTACCCAGGCATGGTGGCCCACACCTATAGTCCCAGCTACTCGGGAGGCTGAGGCCCGAGAATCACTTGAACCCGGGAGGCAATGGTTGCAGTGAGCTGAGTTCACACCCCTGCACTCCAGCCTGGGCAACACAGTGAGACTCCATCTCAAAAAAAAAAAAGCACTAGGCTCAGGGATAGCAGTGGAGATGACAGGACCCCAAAACAATAGAGGCCAGGTGGTGGTGGCACGTGCTCACCAGAAGGCAGGTGGAGACAATTATCATAATGAACAGCAGTTGGAGTGGCAGCCAAGAGGGCTTGACCCACAGAGCTGGTTAATAGTGCACAATGGCCCAGGGCAAAATAGATGGGCAGCTGGTACCATCAAAGGAAACGAAGGAGGGATGAGCTGGAGGCTCAAGGCAATTGTCCCAAGAATGAGCATAATCCCTTGCTCAGTTCTACACTGCGGCCAGTTTTTGGACCTAGAATTCAACTGTTTTAAAAGGAGGCTGGGTCCCCAGGAGGAAGGAGCCTGGCAAGCCCATGGCCAGCATACATGGCAATGACGCCCTCAGCCCTCCCCTAAAGGGACTTGTGACCACTTACTCTGGTAACTGTTCTCTGGGGAAAAGTGAATGCACACATATTTTGAGGACCATTAGAAGGTCTGAGCTGACATTGTTAAATGAAGTGTCAGCCTCCCCTGTTAGAGTGGGGGCACATGGAGACAGGGTAACAAATGGAGTCCTGACTCCAGAAACTGGGAAAATGACTTCTTCTGTTTTCAGAAGTCCTTCAGGATCCAGTTTTTCCCTCATCTCTTGCCACTTACTCCACAGAACTGAGCTATTTGCATTTCCTTAGGGCCTCAGCCCCATTCTTTCCCTCAGTCTCTCTCTGTGTGCTAGGGTTTGGATGTGGTTTGTTTGGCCCCCACCAAGGCTCATGTTAAATTTGACCCCCTGTGTTGGACGTGGGGCCTGGTAGGAGGTGTTGGGATCATGGGGCAGATCCCTCATGAATGGCTTGGTGCCATCCTCACTGGAGGGTGTGAGTGTTTGATCTTAGTTCCGTGAGAACTGGTTGTTGAAGAGCCTCTCTGTGTTCCTTTCTCACCAGGTGATCTGTACACACCAGCTCCCCTTCCCCTTCTGCCATGAGTGGAAGCAGCCTGAGGCCCCTGCCAGAAGCAGATGCTGGCGCCATGCTTCTTGTACAGCCTGAAGAGCTGTGAGCCAAATTAACCTTTGTTCTTTATAAATTACCCAGCCTCAGGTCTTCCTTTATAGCAACGCAAATGGACTAGGCCTCTCTCTGCCTTGTGTCTCGTCTCCCTTATCCCTCTTCTATCTCTCTCCCATATCCCTCTCTCCCACCACCCCCCTAAATCTCTCCCTGCATGTGGGGTCCCCTGGTCTGTCTCTCTGTTCCTCATCTCTTTCTATGTCCCTCATCTCTTAGTCTAACTCTGCATCTCACTCAAGCACACTCACCCACCCCAGGCTCCATACAATCTTATTCATCGGGCTTGAATGTTCCTCTCTTCCCCTGCCCTTCTCCTAACTAACTTCTATTTGTGCTTCAAATAGAAAGTGTCTATTTGACAGAGGTGTCTCAAGAGTCGCCTCGGAGACTCAGGGAAGTCTTCCTCATTCTTTCTGTGCCTGCTTCAACCACAACATAAACTGGACTAAATAATCAGGACTCCCTCAATTCATCTACGGATTCAATGAAATCTCTATCGAATTTCAAGCTGGCTTCTTTGTAGAAATTGAAAAGTTGATCCTAAAATTCATATGGAAATTCAGGTAAGCCAGAATAGACAAAGGTACAGAAATCAAGGCAGTGTGGTACTGGCATAAGGACGGACATATAGATCAATGGAAAAGAATTGACAGTCCAGAAATAAACTCTTACATCTAAGGCCAATTGTTTTTGACAATGGTGCCAGAGTAATTCAATGAAGAATAGTCTTTTCAATAAATGTTGCTAGGGCAACTAGCTATCTACTTGCAGAAGAACGAAGTTGAGACTCTACCTTACGATATACAAAAATTACCCCAAAATGGATCAAAGTCCAAAATGTAAGAGCTAAAACTATAAAACTCTTAGATAAAAATTCTGGATAAAATTAAAAACCCTTTGCCAATGGAGAAATGCAAATTAAAGCCACAATGAGATACAACATCACACCCACTATTATGGCTACTATTAAAAAGACAGATAGTAAGTACGGTGTTTCCTCAAAAAAGTAAATATGCAATTACCATATGATCCAGCAACTCCACTGCTGGGGGGTATGTATATTTAAAAAAACTAAAAGCCAAAAGGATATTTGTATACCTATATTCACAGCAACATTATTCACAATTGCCAAAAGGTAGAAGCAAGCCAGGTGTCCATTCACAGATGAATGGATAAACAAAATGTGGTCTCTGCATACAATGGAACACGATTCAGCCTTAAAACAGAAAGAAATTCCGACCCATGCTACAACACAGATGAACTTTGATGACATTATGCTAAGTGAAATAAACCAGTCACAGAAGAACAAATATTGTATGATTCCACTTATTTGTGTACCCAGAGTACTCAGATTCATAGAGGCAGAAAGTTAGAATAGTGGTCACCCAGGGCTGGGGAGAGCCGGGAATAGTGAGTTGGTGTTTCATGAGTACAGAATTGCAGTTTGGGAAGATAAAAAAGTACTGGAGATGGATGATGATGGTTGTACAATACTGTGAATATACTTAATGCCACTGAACTGTACACGTAAAAATGGTTAAAATGAGCTGGGTGCAGTGGGGCATGCCTGTAGTCCTAGCTACTCTGGAGGCTGAGATAGGAGGATTGCTCGAGCCAAGGAGTTCAAGGCCAGCCTGAGCAACATAGACTGAACTCTTCTCTTAAAAAAGGCCAAGCATATTGGCTCATGCCCATAATCCCAGCACTTTGGGAGGCTGAGGTGGAAGACTCATTGAGCCTAGGAGTTTAAGACCAAGCTGGGCAACAAAGTGAGACCTGTTTCTACAATCAATCAATTAATTAATTAAATACATTAAAAAAAATTTCTGAGACAGGGTCTTCCTCTCTTTCCCAGGCTGAAGTGCAGTGGTGCAATCCTCCTACCTCAGCCTCCTGAGTAGCTGGGACCACAGGCGTGCACGACCGTGCCTGGCTAATTTTTGTATTTTTTGTAGAGACAGGGTTTTGCCATGTTACCCAGGCTGGTCTTGAACTCCTGAGCTCAAGCAATCCGCTAGCTTCACCCTTCCAAAGTGCTGGGATTACAGGTATGAGCCATCATGCCTGGCGAAAAATATATTTTTTAAACGGTTAAAATGGTAAATTTTATGTTATGTATATTCTTACCATAATGATAAATAAAAGAATGTTTGTAATTGCCTAAACTTACCACATCATTAAAAAAAGATAGCATGTTGATCATTAAAGGTCAAATACTGTGAAAGTCACTGGTGCTAAGTTTAGAGGAAGTGGGAGGCCCACACACCCCCTGTACCTCAGTGGTTTCATCTTGGGGTTGAGGATGGGTAGGACTGGATCCAGTACTCCTCCTAGCTCGGAGTCTCAGGACCCCGGCAGATGCCAAACACAATTTTTAAAATTCTCTGATTACTTGCAATATTTCCTAATAAAACTCATTATCTTACCTTCCAAAAGCCTTCCCAGAGCAATAAAAAACATCAGGCTTCTCTGCTGTAGACAGGAATTATAGGACCTCAGGGTGGACTCACAGGTTATTAGTTACAATTTTTATAGAGAGGGGAGGGATGGGTTCAAGCCACTTATGTAACAGCTACTACTGGTGGTGGGGAGGGGACCTCGGCCACATAGGCTCACTGGAGAAGCACATCAGAGCCGGCAAAGGGGAGAGCAGTTTGAACGTGGGCTGCAGAAGCTGCAGCCGGACAAGAAGTAAAGCACGTCATAGCTGTATGGGCACAGGTATTTGTGGTAGGGGCAGAAACGGCATCTTGGCTGATGCAGTCAGGCTTCCAGGTTCTGCAACAACCAGCGCTGGGCTCAACAGAGGGAAGAGGAGAAGAGGAACATGGCACTCACTCCACAGCACCTGAGAAGACCAGAAAGTGATTCCCAACACTGTTGATTCCCTAAATTAGTGGTTCTCAAACTTTAGCATGTTTCAGAATTGCCTGCAGGGCTTGCAGAGTGCCAGGCCCCACCCCTAGAGATTCCATTTCAACTGTCTGTGGTGGGAATAAGAGGATTTGCATGTAAATGGTCCCAGGCAAGGCCTGATGCAGCTGGTTTGAGTACTACATTTTGAAAACCACTGCTGTACTGTATTGATCCAGATAAGCGGTGCTTTGCTACAGTAATAAATAAACTTCCAAATCTCAGAGGCTTAATGTCATAAAAGTTTATTTCTCACTCACATCTCAGTTCCATGCAGCTCAGATAATCTTCCCCCATACTGAACCTATGCCAACTTAACTGTGGAAGAGTAAGAACTCTCTTACTCCACAGAAAAAGAGTGCTGGAAAAGAACACAAGATGTTTTTAAAAGTGATGCCCAGAAGAGGTTTACATCACCTCTCCCCATCCCTCTTGGTCAGATCTTAATCACAGGGTCCCAACCTAACTGGGAAATGTAGTCTTCCTGGGTACCCAGAAAGAAGAAAATAGTGCGGTAAACACACATTATCTCTGACCCACCAACCCACTATCCATTTCCACCACTGTTCCTTGCTTCCTCCTTACTAGCAAATCTTGCTTTTGTCCAAGGGATTTACTCCACCTGTCCCATGCAGACGGGGTAAGCCAATAGCAGGGTAAGCTCTAGGAGAGGGTCTATTAGACTAAGACAGTCCACCTTGCCATTGATTGGTTCAAGTACCCAAGTTCAAGCCAATCAGTGCATGTCATTCTCTTGTCAACTATTATTGGTCCAGGGGTGTGCATGTGACCCAATCAGGCTGAAGGCAATCAGGAGGGTGGAGGGAGCTTTGTTCTATCCTACTGGACTTGGGTGAGGACACATGCTGCTTCAGTTGCCACCAGCAACCATCTTGAGACCAAGAAGCTAAGCCAGAGGAGGGTAGAATCTACAGATGAATAGAAAAATGGAACCAGAGCCCTGAACATTTTTCAAAATGCAGTCCTCAGAAGCCTACTTTACTTCTGAGTTTATATGAAGTTACATTGAGTCCAGATCTCTTATGTGTAGCAGAAAGTCACCAAATGGACACATTTCTTAAAGTATAAGGGTGGGAACAGAAATACTTTGTCTGCTAGCCCTGTGACCTTACTCTTACTTTATGGATTCTACACATGAAGAAATGGGGTTACATTCAATACATGAGACCAGAGTCTCATCATACTTAAAGTCCTGGAAGAAAAAACTGTCAATCTTGAATTCTTTACCCAGTAAAAATAACTCTCAGAAATTAAGATGAGATAAAGACATTCTCAAATAACACAAAGAGAATTCATTGCCAGAAAACCTGGTCTAAGAGAATTGCTTAAGGAATTTCTTCAGACAGAAGGGAATCACACCAGTAGGAAAACTGAGACATCAGGAATAAAGGAAGAGAAACCACATGATCATACCAGTTTATGCAGAAAACGAATTGGACGAAACGCAATATCCATTCACAACTAAAATGTGCAGTTTCCCCAACCTGATAATGGACATCTACAAAAAAGCCTACAACTGACATCACACATAAGGTTTAGGGAGACTGAAAGCTTTCCCCCTAAGATCCAGAATAAGGCAAGAATGCCCACTCTCACTACTTCTATTCAACTTTATACTGGAAGTCCTAGACAGTATAATAAGACAGGGAAAGAAATATAAGTCACAGATGTTGGAAAGGAAGAAATAAAATTGGACCCATTCACAGATTATTTGATTTTTCTTTTCTTTTCTTTGAGACAGGATTTCACTGTGTCACCCAGGCTAGAGTACAGTGGTGCCATCACAGCTTACTGTAGCCACAATCTTCTAGGCTCAAGCGATCATCCCAAGTAGCTGGGACTACAGCACACACCACACTCAATTAATTTTTAAATTTTTTTGTGGAGATGGGGTCTTACTATGTTGCTCAGGCTGGTCTCAAACTCCTGGGTTTGAGCAGTCTTCCTGCCTCAGCTTCCCAAAGTGCTGGGGTTACAGGCATGAACCACACGCTTGGCCTCTTAGTGATTTTTCTACATAGAAAATAAAGTTACTGGAAGTGGTGGCTCACACCTGTAATACCAGCACTTTGGGAAGCTAAGGCAGGAAGATTGCTTGAGCCCAGGAGTTCAAGACCAGCCTGGGCAACATAGTGAGACCCCATCTCTACAAAAAATTAAAAGAGCATGATGGTGCTTGTCTATAGTCCCAGCTACTGGGGAGGCTGAGATGGGAGGATCGGTTGAGCCTAGAAGGTCAAGGCTACAATGAGCTGTGAGGGCACTACTGCACGCCAGCCTGGGCAACAGAGTGAGACCCTGTCTCAAAAAGAAAAAAAAGAAAAGAAAAGAAATGAAATGAAAAAGAAAAATCACCAGGAAGCTACAAAAACTCTTGGAACTGATGAGTGAGCTTAGCATGGTTATAGGATACCAGATCAACATACAAAAATCAAATTTATCTCTACATACTAGCAGTGAACAATCAGAAAATGAAAATTTAAAGACAATGCCATTTACAAGAGTTTAAAAAACAAAACGAACAAAACTCTTAGGTAGAAATCTAACATAACATGTCCAAGATATGTATGCTGAAAACTACAAAACAGAATTTCAGCCTTAGCTCCACTGCGTGAAGAGCCTGGAAGTCATCGCTGCTGTCCATACAACAAGAAGAGGCTCAGCAAACCAAAAACCAGTGACTTTTCTTAAGCCCATTAAAGAACTGAAATCTCAGGACAAACTGTACCTGCTGCCCGAAATCTGTAGAGATAGATGAATACAGAGTCACACCTGAGATCTGCTTCCCTGGAACAGAAGCTGCTGGAGCTATAAGGTGGTAGAGATGTTGAAACAGTAATTCTGATGAATTGCTAAAGGCCAAGTGTGGACTAGCACGGGGTTGAGAAGCTCCTCAGGGCCACAGTCTTAGAGTGGGTTTTACTTACCAGGTTCTCATGGTGAAGAGCCAGGAAAGATTTCCTCTTTGCTTTGGCAGGGGAAGGAGAAGAGTAACCATAGTAAAATTGCCCAGAGCATTGTGTATGGCAAAGGCTTACTCTCCAGGGGCCATTCAGAGCCTTATTCCACCTGGAGGAAGTGCAGCTCTCTGACTCTAGCTGCCTCACCCTTCCTGTCTCACCTAAAAGAGTAGAGGGAGAAACACGTGTGAAGGTCACAGCCTAGGCACACAGGCCCACTAAAAGACTGAGATTCGAGGGTCCGGGTGCAGTGGCTCACGCTTGTAATCCCAGCACTTTGGGAGGTGGGCAGATCACGGGGTCAGGAGATGGAGACCATCCTGGCTAACATGGTGAAACCCCATTTCTACTAAAAATACAAAAAATTAGCCAGGCGTGGTGGCAGGCACCTATAGTCCCAGCTACTCCGGAGGCTGAGGCAGGAGAATCATTTGAACCTGGGAGGCAGAGGTTGCAGTGAGCTGAAATCTCCCCACTGCACTCCAGGCTGGGTGACACAGCAAGACTCCGTCTCACAAAAAAAAAAAAAAAAGACTGAAATTTGATCATGAGATTGTAGAACACTTCCCCTCTCCCACACCTAACCAGCATACTAACAGTGCTTCAGGATAATAATCGTGAATTACATCCAAAAAGGTGCAAGATACAGACTTGATCTGAAGCGGGCAGGGTGCCTAGCAAAGCCCAAAGACAACAGAGAAGAGAGAACCAAGAAGCATGTGAAGCCTCTGGCAGCTGCAGCTACAGCAGAAATTAAACACAGCCCAACTGCGAGCTAAATTAACATAAAAACCTCACTCTAAAGGCCTATATGCCTTAGTTCCCATTTTCTGACACAATATGCCCTACTTTGACCAAAATGTTACAAGGCAAGCTAAAAGGCAAGCGAAAAACACAGTCTGAAGAACAATCATTAGAACCAGACTCAACACAGATGTTGGAATTACCAGATAGGAAATTTAAAAGAAGTATGATTAATACGTGAAGGCCTCTAACGGAAAATGTAGACAACAGACAAGAACAGATGGGTAATGCAAGCAGAGGGATAGAAACTCTAAAAAGGAATAAAAAGAAAATGCTGGGAATGAAAAACACTAACAGAGATGAAGTTGCCTTTGATAGGGCTCACCTGTAGACTGAACACAACCAAGGAAAGCATCAGTGACCTTGAATGTAGGTGAACAGAAACATACCAAACCGAAATGCAAAGAGAAAAAAGAAAGGGAACTAAACAAAGAACAAAAGTTTCAAGAACTGTGGATCAATTTCAGCAGGTGAAATATATGCACAATTAAAATTCTAGAAGAATAAGCGGTTCCAAAGGGTAAACATAATCATTCATCTAACCCCATCTGATTCCTTCAGGAGCAAACACCATCTTGTTTTTGTGTGTACTTTCAGAAACACAGAAGGATGTAAGTAAAACTAAGAAATAGACACCCATTACAGGCTGGGCGCGGTGGCTCACACCTGTAATCCTAGCACTTTGGGAGGCCTAGGTGGGTGGATCACCTGAGGTCAGGAGTTTGAGACCAGTCTGACCAACATGCAGAAACCCTGTCTCTACTAAAAATACAAAATTAGCCGGGCCTGGTGGTGCATGCCTGTAATCTCAGCTACTCGGAAGGCTGAGGCAAGAGAATCGCTTGAACCCAGGAGGTGGAAATTGCGGTGAGCAGAAATTGCACTATTGCACTCTAGCCTGGGCAACAAGAGCAAAACTCCATCTCAAGAAAAAAAAAAAAAAAGAAATAGACATCAATCACATACACATATGCTTATTCTAGTCACACTGTCCTTTACTTTCCTCTTGATTTAATATATTCTGGAGATCAATTCACATGAGCTCCTATAGAACTATGCATTCTTCCCTCAGTGGCTCCATAGTACAGATGTGCTAGAGCTGAGTTAGCCACTCCTCTGATGGATTTAGATGTATTGACAGTATTTTGCTAATGCAAACCATGAATCGAAAGTTATAGTGCTCTTGGCAAATAAAACAATACAGAGATTGCATGGAACTTCTCTACAGTTGTCATTGTAGGTTGGAACTGTTTGTTCTTTGCCTTTTTCCCACTTCACATCTTGTTTCTCTTTGTTGCTTTTCCCCTCCTTTTCTGCCGGCGCCCCCCTACACACCTGTTCCTCCTGGGGAATTTCATTAGTTCTTCACCACCCATCAATCAGACCCCTGCTGGGAGCTTTCCCAGACTGCGCCTCCGTTACTGGCTCTTCTCTCTCTGCACCTCCCCAGCAGCATTTTGCAAGACAGTTTGTGATGCTGTAGTCTAACTCTGACACTTAGCCTAATTCTGACAATTCGGTGACCTTTTTGCAGGGGAGGGGCCTGAGTCTTGTCGATCTGTGTTTCCGCCACACAGATGCCAGGGCCTGCCATAGAATTAGCATTCAAAAAATGTTGGGTGACTGAGCGATGATGTCTTAAATTGATTTCTCCCGTAGAGCTCACCACAGGACAATTTATGTTTCCCATTTTGAGACTCATTTTATCTTTGCATTGGCAAACAATGCTATAGTGAACCCCTTTCTACCCCTGGCCTTTTTCTCCTTGGTTTTCGAAGCAGTTTTACTGGGCCAAAGGGTATGGAATTATTTTTTCTTCCCACTTTGCCTTGCAAAATTGTGCATACTGGTTGGTTTTTTTTGTTTTGTTTTTGTTTGTTTGTTTTTTTAAGTTGGGAGGCTGGTAAGCATCAGAATGGTAATCAGAAAACCTTTGTGTCTGGAATTGGTTCCTTCCGGTGGGTTCTCAGTCTGGCTGACTTCAAGAATGAAGCCTCAGACCCTCGCGGTGAGTGTTACAGTTCTTAAAGATGGTGTGTCCGGAGTTTGTTACTTCAGATGTTCAGATGTGTCCGGAGTTTCTTCCTTTCGGTGGGTTCATGGTCTCACTGACTTCAGGAGTGAAGCTGCAGACCTTCACAGTGAGTGTTACAGCTCTTAAAGGTGGAGGTCCGGAGTTGTTTGTTCCTTCCAGCGGGTTCATAGTCTCGCTGACTTCAGGAGTGAAGCCGCAGACCTTCACAGTGAGTGTTACAGCTCTTAAAGGTGGCGCGTCCCGAGTTGTTTGTTCCTTCCAGTGGGTTCGTGGTCTCGCTGACTTCAGGAGTGAAGCCACAGACCCTCGCAGTGAGAGTTACAGCTCATAAAGGTAGTGTGGACCCAAAGAGTAAGCAGCAGCAAGATTTATCGTGAAGAGTGAAAGAACAAAGATTCCACAGTGTAGAAGGCAACCCCAGCAGGGTGCCTCTACTGGCTCAGGTGGCCAGCTGTTATTCCCTTATCTGGCCCCACCCACATCCTGCTGATTGGTCCATTTTACAGAGTGCTGATTGGTCCATTTTACAGAGTGCTGATTGGTGCGTTTACAAACCTTTAGCTAGACACAGAGCACTGATTGGTGCGTTTTTACAGAGTGCTGATTGGTGCGTCTACAAGCTTTTAGCTAGACACAGAGCGCTGATTGGTGTGTTTCTACAGAGTGCTGATTGGTGCATCTACAAACCTTTAGCTAGACACAGAGCGCTGATTGGTGCGTTTTTACAATCCTCTAACTAGACAGAAAAGTTCTGCAAGTCCCCACTCGACCCAGGAAGTCCAGCTGGCTTCACCTCTCACCTTGACCTTCCTTCATAGGTTTGTAATTGCCTGATGGGGTCTTCCTGCCCACTGCACAGACAAAACCAATTCATTGACACTGTGGCATTGCAATAAAGAGTTCAACTGATGTGAGGCTGACCATGCCACCTGGGAGATGGAGTTGCTGCTCAAATCAATCTCCCTGAAAATGTGGAGGTTGGGGTTTTTCCAGGGTGGTTTGGTGGGCGGGGGCTAGAGGAATGGGTGCTGCTGACCGGTTGGGGATGCAGTCATAGGGGTGTGAGAAATGCTCTTTTTGCACTGAATCTGCTTCCTGGTGGGGCCACAGGACTGGTTGAGCCAACAGTCAGGGGTCCAGGTGGGACCATCCGGTTGTCAGAAATGCAAAAATCTGAAAGGATTTTTGGTTGAAATGAAAGGGTTGCATCTCAAAAGGCCAGTCTTAGGTTCTATAATAGTGAATTGGGAAAGTTGTAAATCTTGTGACCTCCAGAATAATGACTGGTAACCATTTAACTGAATTCTGAGCAGAGTTCAGGGGGCCTTTCATTAGTTGGCTCCGGGGGTGGTAGGAACCAAGTGGGCAAGACGGCTGAGGCTCGGCCACACACACAGAAAGCACCGACCCTGTGTGAAATGACAGCTGCTAGGACAAACGTGGGGACCTGATGTGACAGCCATGGGAACAGCAGTGCCATGGTGATGTCTAATGGATAATTGTCAGCAAGTGCCGTTGGCCCCACTTTCAAGGGACGTCCGGAACCCAGCCCTTCCCCCCACCCCTGCTGCAACCCCTCTGGTCCTGCCACTGTCATCACTGGCCTGGATCCTTGCAGTGGCCTCTCTGGGCTCCCTCCCTCCACCTACCCGCTCCTGGGTCCCTGGCCCATGCAGCATCCAGAGGGCTTCAGGTCCCCGATTGCATTCTTCTTCTGCTCAGAAGAGGCTTCCCTGCCGGTGTAAAAAGCGGAGTACTCCAGAGCCCTGTGCGAACTCCTGCTCTCTTGACCTCTGAGTCCTTGCCTCCTCTTACCCTCCGCCGGCTCCCCCTCAGCCACGCCAGCCTCCTCGCCATTCCCCCAATGAGCCAGGCACCTGCAGACCTCCAGGTCTTTGCACTGGCTGAGCCCTAGGGCCAGGCCGGCTGTTCCCAGTTGCACACACAGCTCACTCACCCACTTCTTTTAAGCCTTTGCTTCCACTCTACCTAACATGCCAACACCACCCACCCCAGCTCGATCTTTCTCCTGAGCACATTTCCAATAGAACACACAACATATGATCTCTATTTATCACCATTATTGTCTGGCTTTCCTCACTGAAATCGGAACCCTGAAGACAGGAATTTTCTTGTTTTGTGCACTGTAGTAACTGTTCAGCAACTCGAACAGTGCTTGACACATGGAGTAGAAGCTCAATAAATATTTATTGAATAAATGAATGAATAGTGTTTGCTGAAAGAACCTTCACACTCAGGAATATTTTAAGTGTTGCTGCAATTCCCGACCAGCAAGATGCAGAGGAAAACCTTGAGAAGAGGACCCAGAAGGAAACCACAGTGTTTACACACCAGCACCTGAGATAGTGAAAATGCCAGCTCAGAGCTGGAGCCTGGCCAAGGAGGACAAAGGTCCTGACAAGGACTGTACCATGCAGAGGTCACTGCCTACTACCTGGGGTATGAGACTCTCCCCGATTCAACAATATTCTGATGAGACAGTCAATCTGATTCCTAACAGGAGGGGCCAAGGCAAGGTGGTCTAGCCAGCCAGTAGGATTGAATGACAAGCACAGACCCATGCCAGAATTAGAGGCCAGACAGGAGGTTCCACAAACGCACCTCCTAAGTGCTTGGTGCTGAGACCACAAAGCCAAAGAAATGAGGCTTCTTGATTTGATTGCAGACTCAGCAAAAATGAACCTAAGCCTGCTCCCCATGGCTGGGTCGTGTCCTGGGGAGGCACCAGCTTTCAGCTTGGCCTGCTTCAGTATATAGTTTTTAACCCTGTGTGTGTTCTGTTGTGACTCTGGACATCTAGACATCTGTGCGAGGGGGCTCGTGAGGAGACCAGTCTCCCTGGCAGGCCTAGATGTAGCCTAGCCTGAGGCGGGAGGGGACCACAGGTGGGGCTGGATGTTCTTTCAGCCTCTCTGGCAGAGATCAAGGTCAGCTTGGTCAAGCTTCTGCAGTGGCTGGCTCTCATGTGGGGGAGGGAGGCAGTCCCCAGAGCAGGAATGCCTTCCCTGGGGCTCGTTTCCTTGCAGGGGAAGAGCCATCCTCCCCTCAGTGCCTCCTTCACTAAAGCCTATAGGAGGCGAGTGACCTGGGGAATCCATGACCTAGGGGCAAACCTCTGGGCTCTGGCTTAGCCGCACCCTGGGGAAACATTCACAGCCCCTCGGGAGGAGAGCCCTGCTGCAGAAGGACTCTAGGGCAGGGCCCAGCTGCCAGGTCCCGGGCTGTTGGTGACGGTACCCCAGGCTACAAACTCTCTTGGCCTGGGGGCAATTCCCTTCCTGGTTACAACAGATTCCCACCCCACCCTGCCCTACTGCCCACCCCTGGGCAGGGAGGCATGGGGAGATGGCAGGAGAGGGGAAGCAGGGGCCAGACAGGAGGAAGAGATGATGCCCTGGGCCAGGTGGTCACCGCACCTGCTGAAGTGGGAAACTCTGGCTTCTCCCAGTGGAAATTTCAGGATTCCAAAAAATTGGACCAGCAAATAAACTTAGTGACAGTCACACCAGCCTTCTGGAAACTCATAGTAGGCGTCCACTGCCCCTGCGGGTCCCCAGGACCCCTCTGCCTGTGGCCTTGGGGACCCAGTACTGTACTTCCAATGCTCTGCAGACACACCTAGGGCTTGAATCCCATCTCACTGATTCCACAAATAACTGATTTGTGGCCTCCTGGGTGTGAGGCCTCTGTGGCTGTGAGGGAGGCAAGGTCCCTGCTGCAGTGGGAGTGACAGGTGTAAAATAGGACGACTTCAGAACCTGGTAAGGGGGACAAAGCAGAGTACTGGGACGTGGGTGAGCGCGGGGCAGCCTGGGATGGTGGAAACAGTGAATCTTTGCCATCTGTTCCTGGCCAGATATCATTGGGGATGCTACCTGATCTCTCTTCAGCCTCAGTTTCCTCACCTTTACAGTGGAGCTGGAGCCCCCCCACTCCCGGACCCTGCTCTCTGGGCTGCCTCTAGGAAGCCTGCCCTGCTCAGGCCTGCTCCCCGTCTCCATGGCTGTCAGTCCCTCCTGAAAATGTCCCCCGAAAAGGAGGCCGCTGGCCGCAGAGGGAGATGAACGACCCAAGGTTGCCCGGCCTGTACCTAGGGCCCCATGGCTCCTGAGGCCCGGCCTGGGTGGACCCTGGAAGGGGCTTTCTCTGTGGGTTTTGCCCTGGTTCCTGGAGCCTGTTCCCAATGGGCACCTCTTAGCATGATTAACACAGGCAGATGGGACCTGAAGGGGCCATCGGTCCTCCTGAAAATGCTCACCAGGCAGTGTGAGTGTGGGGAGACCATGCGCAATGTGTGGGACTCTGCCCTGCACCCACTCAGAGCCTCAGCCCTTCAGAGCCACTGGTAATGATTTGCTGTGGGTGGGGTCATCCTGATACTTCCCTGAGGTCTCTTTTCCTTTCAGTTTTTCTGAGAAACTGAGAGGATCATATGACTGCATGCCGCCTAAACTAGGGTTTGCACAGCCTGCGTTGGCAAGGAGGGCGCAAAGCAGCAGAGTGTGACCCACCTGCCACCTTTCCAGTGCTACTACAAGATTTTCAAGAAACCGTCGTTTATCAGGAACCATCTTTATTAAAAAAGATAAAGTAGAGCAGGGCAGGGGAGAAGTGCTGCAGACTCCCACTTTGCTGGGCACACTGCAGCGTGGGCATCTCGCCCGGCTCCTCCCCAAAGCCGTTGGTGTCCACTGTCAATGTTCTTGGACCTCAGGGCCTTCGTCCTCTCCAATCTAAATGCAGGGAGACATTTGACATGGACTCTCTCAGGTATTTTGCAAAATGCAAGACATTCTCATTGACTCTGGTCACCCTGCTGTGCACTAGATGTCAAAACCTCTTCCTCCTGTCCAGACTTTGGTCCTTTGACCGACAACCCCCCATCCCCTCCCTCTACCGCTCTCCGGCCCCTGTTCACCATCCATCTATTTGCTACTACTATGGGGTCAACGTTTTTAGATCAGCACTTCCAGGACATCAGGTGGAATTGGTCTCTCTGAGGTGGTGGAGATGCTAAGTAGCGGGATTTCCTCATTCCACGGTGCACACATCTATCTAATCCTCACATTGTACCCCATGAATGAATACAAGCATGATTTGCCAATTAAAATAATAGTAATAAAGACAGAATGAATATAGTAAAATACAAGAAGTGTGGCTTCACCTCCCCACCTACTCGATTTTTGTCTTCAGTCATGCGACTATGTTGAGGTGATCTTATTACTCCTTTCCTTCGGTGGACGCGTGCAACAAAATCTTAACAGAATTGAAAGGTGCATCGTCTGGCAGCCCTGCGGCAGCCCCAGCTTTTTGTTGGCGAGGCTGACGTCACAGCCTCGGGCTGCCCAGCTTAGACAACGCTGACTTCCTACGATGGTTGTCGCTGGGCAAGGGAGGTTCTGGGTCTCTGCCACTGCTGCTGGTGGTGTGGATGGAGGGGGAAGCCACAGGGTCATGCTGGGGGGCTTTACTAAAACTGTGCGGCTTCCTCTGCAGGCCGGCAGGTGCACTGGCAGGAATGGTGGTCTTCTTCTGAATGCTGAACATGGGACAAGCTGGCTCGCTGTGAGCCTGCTTCAGTGGGAGAGGGATGGTGGAAAGTTCAGTGGATAGAGAAGGACAGGTGGGAACCCCAGGAGGAAGGGACCATGGTCTGATGGTGGACTGCTGCTTTTGTTTGTTCTAAAATGAGGTAGGTGGCCATAGGATAGTGAAACGCTTTTTCTTTGATTGGCACAGAGATGTTCTTGGCCTGGAATCCCATGGCCACCATGAGCTGGGTGGTTTGGGGTTCAGGTGGTCCAGTAGTGGCTCTTTGTATGTTGTCTGTGGCATCTCCTGGCCACAGTTCACCCACCAGTTCCTCATAACTTGTTTCAGTGGGGGCCACTCCCTGGGTTCTCGTGTTAGTAACTTTTGAATGAGTCTTTCAAGTTGAAGGGGGAAAAAATGGTGGGGCATGGTAGCTTCCTGTGAGAATTGTATTCTCAAGGTCCATCGTGTTCCCTGAATAGAAGGGCAGGGTCCCAGACACTGTATGGTAGAGTATGACACCGAGGCCCCATATGTCCATGGCAGGGCACTGGTACCCCAGCCCAGGAAGAGTTCTGAGCAGGAATGGTGGTCTTTTGCCCTCACTTCTGACCCTCCTCAGGCAGCTGAAAATTAAAAGTGGGAACAGCTGGCTCACTTTGAGCCCTCTTTGGTTCCACAAGGAAGGCAGACTTTGTCAGATGGGGAAGAACAGGTGGGACCCCCAGGAGGAAGGGCTGTGCTCCAATGATGGAACGCTTCCTCCTCTGTACTTTTCTCTACCCCGGGATTAGGTACGTGGCCATGGGATAATCACATACGTATTTTTTGTGGGGGAGAATATTGATTCCGAGATGTGTGCTGCTTGGAATCCCATGGCCACCATTACCAGGGTTGTAGGGGGCATAGGTGTCCAGGGTCTCTGTATGGTGTCAGCAGTGTCTTCTGGCCGGCATTGACCCAGGGGTGCCACGTCAGCTGGTTTAGTGGGGGCTGCTCCCTGGGGTCAAGGCTGAGGAATTGTTTTACTAGTGTTTCCCGTAGAAATGAATAAATAGGTGGGGAGTCATACTGTCACATAGCCTGAGGCGGGAAGGGACCAGGGGTGGGACCTACAGAGGCTCTGAGAAAGGCCTGGGCCTCAGAAGATGGGGAAGCAGGAGGACCCACTTAGAGGCCTTCACAACCTTCTAGGGCACAGGCCAGAATGCAGTTTAGGTTTCAGAACGGAGCTGGGTCCCTCACGCTCTTCTTGAGGCTACAGGGCTCCAGCTCCTTGGGCCCTTTCCATGCAGACATGGTTCTGGGGCCCCGGCTACACAGACACCCTTCTGATGGTTGTCGTCTGCAGCCAGACAGGGGGCGTGGGCCGACCCGCCCCTTCCTTTGCCAAGTGGACAGATGAAGGGAGCCTCTGAGGGCAGGATTGCTGGACTGGGAATTGGACTTGGAGTGTAATCCAAAGGCCCCACGGGCCCCGCCTCTTCTCTGGAGCTCGGCTTCAAGAAAACTGGGACAAGGGATGGCAAGAGCAGCTCTCAGGACCCTTGCCCCTCCACCCCATGATGCTTTTAGATGGTTCTCAAGGGCCACCATTTTCAGGAAGAATTCTCAGGTTATAGGAAAGTAAAGGGAGGAATCGTGCTTTGAGTGGCACTTTGATCAGGCTCTAGACTAGGTGTTGGTTTCATGGGGTTTGCTTTTCCTCCCGCCTCATACCCCTTCACAAAACCTGAGTCGTGGCTAGGCCGGGAGTGAGATTCCTGTGTCTAGATTTTCATCATTCCATGTTGCACAGGAGGAGGTCTGGGGGAAAAGGGGACAGATACTAGCAAGTATATGGAAGATATATATGCACCAGGCTCTGGAGCAGCTTCTGACATCTGGTCCAGCGGCCTCAGGTCTCCATGGAGATGGGGGCAGGGCCAGGTGGCAGTGATGCAATGCGGGGGCATTGCTCCCAACGGCCAACGGCCCCACCCAGGCTGGGCTGAGTCGGAGCCGGGACTGGGAGGCAGAGCCAGAGACCCGTAAGCGGAGCCGAACCCCTACGAGCTTGCCCAGTAGGGAGCTCAGGATCCCCAAGATTGGACAGGCAAATAAGCTTAGTGACAGTCCCACCAGTCTTCCCGAGAGTCACGGTAGGCATCCGCTTCCCCTGCCGGTCCCCAGGCCTGCTCTATCAGGCGACCTTGGGGACGGACTCAGGGCTGCATTTCCAATGCTCTGCAGACACACCTCGGGCTTGAATCCCAGGGTTTCACTGATTCCACAAATATTGACTGAGGGCCTCCTGGGTGCCAGGGCTGTGTGGCTGCCAGGGAGGCAAGGTCCCTGTTCCTTATGGGTGTAAAACAGGATGACTTCAGAACCCGAGAATGGGGACAAAGCAGAGTACTGGGAAGTGGCTGGGTGGGTGCGGGGCAGCCTGGGACGGGGTAAACAGCAAATCTTTGCCATCTGTTCCTGGCCAGATTTCATTGGGGATGCTACCTGATCTCTCTTCAGCCTCAGTTTCCTCACCTGGACAGTGGAGCTGAACCCACCCCCCACTATCTGACCCTGCTTTCTGGGCTGTCTTTCGGGAACCCGCCCTGCTCAGGCCTGCTCCCCACCCTCCATGGCTGTCAGCCCCCCAGGAGAAGAATGTCTGCCATATGGAGGCTGCTGGCAGCAAAGGGAGATGAACAAGCCAAGGTTGCCCGGCCTGCATGCTGGCCCAGGTGGACACTTGAAAGGAGTTTCTCTCTTTGTGGGTTTTTGCCCTGGTGCCTGGAGCCCCTTCCCTATAGTCCCTTGATGCAGCCCAGCTGTATGGGCTGGAAGCCCTGGCTTCTGAAGAGGAGATGTCAAGCTCTACCACAGGTCACAGCCAGAAAGAATTCTGGCCTTGTCCAATGATAGTAAAAGCCGGGCCTGGGGAAGGTGCCTTCTCACAGGACAGCACTTCCAGAGGGGGCACAGCAGCAAGGTGGAGGGACAGACTCTGATGGGCCCTTGGGGAGCTCAAGCAGAATCCACAGTGGCCCGCTTTCTGGGGGTACAAATTGGCATTGGGTGGAGGGAGATTCAGTGTTGACACCTGAGGGACCTTCACCCCCAATGTGGATTTAAAGGACAGCAGCTCACTGGGGAGACAAGGAGCCCTATAACACTCCCACCCTCTCCTGAGCCTGCTTCTTGCTTCCTGGTCCTGCTCTTTATTGGAGAAGGAGAATCTTACCTGACTCAACAGTGGGCAGGATCACCGCATGCTCAAGGCTGGGCACACTGAGATGCCGGCCATGCACAAGGGTGGTGCCTTCTGGACCTTCCTCAGGGTCCTTAGGAACCCACAAGGCAGCTCCCTGATGGGTGTTGATGGGGCATCTGCACCCATAGATTCACTGCCTGACACGGAAACACCAGGTTCCTGGGAAGCTGGAACCTGCCTTATGAAAGGCCTCATTCCCACCACCCCCTCCATCCCTCGGGGCTGCTCCTGTGTCTTGCCGTCAACCCTCTTCTGACCCACAGGACACCTGCCTTGCCTAGAAGCACCCCTACAACCTGGGCCTGGATGAAGGCTCACTCCTCCATCAGACCTCTGAGGGGGAAGGCTCCTTGCCACTTTTAGCAAAAGGGGAAACCATCGCAGCAGAAAGGCAAATGCCACACTAGACAGCCAGGAGCCCAGCAGCACAAGTGGCCCCTTAAGGTGCTTTGGGGACCACACCCCGCCACTGACCCCAGCACAGCCCGGTTCCCAGGGCTTCGGGATCCTCCTGGGAACCTCTCAGAAGGATTAACACAGGCAGACGGGACCTGAAGGGGCTGCTGGTCGTTCTGAAAATGCTCATCAGGCAGTGTGAGTGTGGGGAGGCCATGCGCAATATGTGGGACTCTGCACCCACTCAGAGCCTCAGCCCTTCAGAGCCACTAATAATGATTTGCTGTGGGTGGGGTCACCCCGATTCTTCTCTGAGGTTTCGTTTCCTTTCAGTTTTTCTGAGTAACAGCGAGAACCACATGACTGCATGCCGCCTAAACTAGGGCGTGCACAGCCCCCGTTCTGCGCAGGGAGGGCGCAAAGCAGTAGAGTGTCTGTGACCCACCTGCCACCTTTCCGATGCTGCTACAAGATTTGGAAGAGATAGTCATTTATCAGGAGCCATCTTTATTAAAAAAGATAAAATAGAGCAGGGCAGGGGAGAAGTGCTACAGGCTCCAACGTTGCTGGGCACGTGGCAGCGTGGGCGTCTCGCCAGGCTCCTCCCTGCAGCCATTGACGTCCACTGTCAGGTTTCAATGTTCTTGGACCTCAGGGCCTTCGTCCTCTCCAATCTAAATGCAGGGAGACATTTGACATGGACTCTCTCAGGTGTTTTGCAAAATGCAATACATTCTCATTGATCTGGTCACCCTGCTGTGCACTAGATGTCAAAACCTCTTCCTCCTGTCCAGACTTTGGTCCTTTGACTGACAACCCCCCATTCCCTCCCTCTGCCACTCTCTGACCCCTGGTCACCATCGATCTACTTGCTACTTCTATGGGGTCGACGTTTTTAGATCAACACTTCCAGGACATCATGTGGAATTGGTCTCTCTGAGGTGGTGGAGATGCTAAGTAGCGGGATTTCCTCATTCCACGGTGCACATATCTATCGAATCCTCACATTGTACCCCATGAATGAATACAAGCATGATTTTCCAATTAAAATAATGCTAATAAAGACAGAATAAATATAGTAAAATGCAAGAAGTGTGGCCTGACCGCCCCACCTACTTGATTTTTGTCTTCAGTCATGCAACTATGTTGGGGCAATCTTATTCCTCCTTTTCTTTGCTGGACACAGGCAAAAACGTTTTAACTGAATGAAAAGGCATATCCTGGCAGCTCTGCAGCAGCACCAGCTTCTTGCTGGCTTGGATGACGTCATAGCCTCGGCTGCCCAGCTTGGAAGACACTGGCTTTCTGCAATGGTTGTTGAGGCAGAAACGTTTCTGTGTCTCTACCACTGCTGCTGGTGCTCTGGGTGAAGGGGGAGGCCACAGGGTCATGCTGGGGGGCTTGTTTAGCCAGAGATGTTTCTGGGTCTGCACAACTGCTGCTGGTGCTCTGGGTAGAGGGTGAAGCCACAGGGTCATGCTGGAGCCTTGTTACGGAACACCACTGCTGCTGCTGGTGCTCAGGGTGGAGGGGGAAGCCACAGAGTCACGGGGAAGGCTTGCTGAGCCAAGGATGTTTCTGCATCACCGCCACTGCTGCTGGTGCTCTGGGTGGAGCGGGAGGCCACAGGGTCACGCTGGGAGGCTTGGTGAGCCAGGAAGGTTTCTGGCTCTCCACCACTGCTGCTGGTGCACTGGATAGAGAAGGAGACCAGAGTGTCATACTGGAAGGATTGGAGAGCCAGGGAGGTTTTTGATTCTGAACTACTGCTGCTGGTGCTCTGGATGGAAGGAAAGGCCACAGGGTTATGCTAGGGAGCTTGTTGAGCCAGCGACGTTTCTGGGACTCCACCACTGCTGCTGTTGCTCTGGGTGGAGGGGGAGGCCACAGGGTCACGCTGAAGGGCTTGTTGAGCCAGGGACATTTCTGGGACTCCACCACTGCTGCGGTACTCTGGGTGGAAGGGGAGGCCATGGGGTCATGCTGGGTGGCTTGTTGAGCCAGGGATATTTCTGGGTCTCCACTACTGCTGCTGATGCTCTGGGTGGAGAGAGAGGCCACAGGATCACACTGGGGGGCCTGATTGAAGCTCTCTGGCTTTCTCTGCAGGCCGGCAGGTGCACTGGCCAGAAAGGGGCTCTTCTGCTGAATGCTATGAGTCCACTTCAGTGGGAGAAAAAAGGTGGAAACTTCAACGGATAGGGAAAAACAGTTGGGAACCCCAAAAGGAAGGGACTGTGGTCTGACAGTAAACTGCTTCTTTCATTTTGTTTCTTCCAAAATAATGTGGGAGGCCATGGGAAAATTGAATAATTCTTTGATTGCCATGGATAGGTTCTCAGCCTGGAATCCCATGGCCACAAACAGCTGGGTTGTTTTGGGGTTTAAGTGGTCCAGAATTTGATCTTCATATGTTGTCAGAGGCAATTGTTCACCCATGGGCCCCTCATCACTTCTTCTAGTGCTGTCTGCTCCCTGGGGTCTACTCTTAATAGTTTATTATTGAGGCTTTTGAGACCTCGGGAAAAGTATACTGGGGAAAATCATCTTCCATTTTAAATTTTTCCCGTGAAGACCCTAACACTGCGTGAGCAGAAGGGCAGAACTTCACCCACCATGTGATATAACATTACTCCGAGGCTCCAAACATTCATGGCAGGGCACTGGTAGCCCTGGCCCAGGAAGAGTTCCAGGGCCATGCAGGGGTAGGTGCCACAAAGGGCTATCAGCTTCTGTTTCTCATGGAATGTGGTACGGAAGCTGAAGTCTGCGATCTTAATGTTACCGTCCTCATCAAGGACAATAATTTCCAGGTTCAGGTCTCTCTCTGTGTGAAATTTATTTGCTATGGCTGTACTACATGGCCAACAGAATCGGCCTGAACACGGTCCAGGCCTTCTCCTCCCTCATGAGGCCGCGGTGGTGTATCGGTTGTGCAGGTCTTCTCCTCTTGCACACTCTGTTACTAAATAAATAACGCATGATGGAGGTGTCAATCAGTTGATATCATTGTACAATACTGAAGTGGCAGAGAGACTTCAAAATACTTCTCTCTCTCTCTAGAGAGTGATGCCGGGGGAGCCAGCCTTAGGTATGATTTCGATGGCCACCTGGGTCCCAGTCAGCACGTGAGGAGTCAGTTTGACCTCACTGAACGTGCCACAGCCGATGGTGTCCAGGATTTTACAATTCTGGAGCTCCTGGTCAGGTGGAGTGGAGGCGGATCCCTGCTCCCTGGTACCACCGCTCTACACTGACTATAAAACTACTCTAAGTGTAGTGACTATGCTCACAATACTGACCCTACCTACTTGATTTTTGTCTTCAGCCATGCAACTATGTTGGGGTCATCTAGTTCCTCCTTTTCTGTGGTGGACACAGGCAAAAACATTTTAAAATAATGGAAATGCGATATCCTGGCAGCCCTGTGGTGAGTGCCAGCTTCTTGTTGGCGAGGCTGACATCACAGCCTCAGCCTGCCCAGCTTGAATGACGCTGGCGTCCTGGGATGGTTGTTGCTGTGTCAGGGACGTTTCTGGGTCTCCGCCACTGCTACTGGTGCTCTGGGTGGAGAAGAAGGCCACAGGCTGATACTGGAAGGCTTGTTGAGCCAGGGACGTTTCTGGGTCTCCACCACTGCTGCTGGTGTTCTGGGTGAAGGGGAAGCCCACAGGGTCATGCTGGGGCCCTTGTTAAGCCTGGGTAGTTTCTGGGTCTGCACCACTGCTGCTGGTGCTCTGGGTGAAGGGAAAGGCCACAGGGTCATGCTGGGGGGCTTGTTAAGCCAGGAATATTTCTGGGTCTCCACCACTGCTGCTGGTGCGCTGAATGAAAAGAGACGCCACAGGATCACACTGGGGGGGCTTGATTAAAGCTCTCTGGCTTCTCTGCACGCCAGCAGGTGCACTGGCCAGAAAGGGGCTCTTCTGCTGAATGCTATGAGTCCACTTCAGTGGGAGAAAAAAGGTGGAAACTTCAATGGATAGGGAAAAACAGTTGGGAACCCCAAAAGGAAGGGACTGTGGTCTGATAGTAAACTGCTTCTTTCGTTTTGTTTCTTCCAAAATAATGTAGGAGGCCATGGGAAAACTGAACAATTCTTCTTTGATTGCCATGGATAGGTTCTCGGCCTGGAATCCCATGGCCACCAAGAGCTGGGTTGTTTTGGGGTATAAGTGGTCCAGGATTTGTTCTTCATATGTTGTCAGAGGCAACTCCTGGCCACTGTTCACCCACAGGTCCCTCATCACTTCTTCTAGTGCTGTCTGCTTCCTGGGGTCTACTCTTAATAGTTTATTATTGAGGCTTTTGAGACCTTGGGAAAAATACAATGGGGAAAAATATCTTCCATTTTAAATTTTTGCCGTGAAGACCGTAACGCTGCCTGAGCAGAAGGGCAGAACTTTGCCCACCATGTGATATAACGTTATTCCAAGGCTCCAAACATTCATGGCGGGGCATTGGGAGCCCTGGCCCAGGAAGAGTTCAGGGCCATGTAGTGGTAGGTGCCATAAAGGGCTATCAGCTGTTCCTCATGGAATGTGGTACCGAAGCCAAAGTTCGTGATCTTAATGTTACCATCCTTAATGTTACCTGCCTGCGTGGGCTCTGGGGAAATCAAGGCAAGGAGTTTGCCTTCCCAGGCCTGCTGCAGGTGAGTGCCCCTAAGAGAGACAAGGGGACAGGTAAAGCTCTCAGGAAACCTCTGCCCAAAGTTTGCTTTTTCCACCCTAGAAGAAGCTATCAGTACCTAGTATGTGCAACAGACAGAGCCCTAGACCTTAAAGCCTCACAGTCAAGTTTAGATATTATCCAGGAAAGCCAGGGGTCCAGTCTCCAGAGGATCCACCTCCCCTGTCCTGCAGGAGAGCTGAAGGAAAATGTTAGGTAATTCAACCTAGCAAACATTTACCCAATGCCGGCTGGGCCCAAAATCCAGTGTGAGACACAGAAGGGTCCAAAAGAATTTACTGATCCTAGTTCTGTCCTCCTAGTGCTGACCTTGACAAGCCACAGTAGAAAATGTCCTTGTACCCTAGGGCAGGGGCCACTGCAAAGCTGAGGGACATCGAAGGGAAGAACAAGTCCCACCTTGGGCAGCCAAGGAGGGCTCCCTGGAGGAGGGGACACCTGAGAGGCAATGCCAGAGGAAGCATGGCTTCTGAAAGCAGAGTTCAGGAGGGGAAGGTGCTCCAGGCAGAAGAGGTGGCAAAAGGAAAGGTGAGGAAGGCGCATCTTTAGAGACCCTGAGCTAGTCCAGTTCTGCTGATACAAGAGCCATGGGTGGGCCAGGAAATAGCTATGACAACACTGACTGGAGGCAGGCACTCTGCAGGTGGCTTCTGGCCAAAAAGGCAGATCCCAGCCACGTGGGGAGGGCCCCCAATGCCCAGGAAAATGCAGCAGTAGGAGACAGGCAGTGCATCCAGTGGGAAAGAGCTCAGGCGACAGAGTCAGACATCCTGGATCCCAGCCCCTGCTCAGCCACCCATGAGCTGTGTGACCGTGGGCAAGTTACTGAAGCTCTCTGGGCCTCAGCTTCCTCATCTATATAGTGGGCATCAGACCATTTATAAGCACAATAAGACACTGTACTTACTAAGGGAATAGCACACTTCCCGACACCCAGGGGCAGCCACCTACCACAGTTTATTCAGCAATTCTCTTTCTTGACACTCATCAATCTAGATAAGGCACATCCTTTCTGGGACTGCCAGACTCTAAAAGCTTCCAAGGGTCAAGTTCATCTTCACAATGGAGACTCTGACCAGAAAAGAGGTTGCAGGCTCAGAAAAAAAAGGCAAAAGGGATGACAAAAATACTCATCAAAGTATTTCGGGGCAAGGAGGACCAAGTAGAAAGCATGACACCCTCATAGTGGGCAAACAAGGGAGTTAACCATTTCCTTGCTGCAAAGGTGGGGCCTTGAGATGGGCTGCTGGTAAATGAGCTAGTCTTTGGAGACCAGATGACATCCTACTCTGGAACTGGATGCAGGTGCCATCAACCCTTCAGGAGTGGGGGGAGTGTAAGAGAAAACCACCAGGGTTGCTGGGACGTCGTGGCATGATGGTGGCCAGGGAAGGCCCAGAGCAGGCGCCTCCCCAGTCCTGACATCCCCACCACCCGCCTGGGGAGAACAGATGCACACTCAGGAAAGAAGTGACTTTAAATGGGCTTAACTAGAACCACGAGAATGAGCCATAGCAAGTGCTGGCCAGGACATGGAGATGGTGGCACCTTCACACACTGCCCCTGGGAATCTGAAAAGGGGCAGCCACTTGGGAAACCACCTGGCAGCTCCCGAACAGTTAAACACAGAGTTTTCCTACGCCCCAGCAGTTCCACTCCTCCATGTCTACCCAAGAGACCGGAAAACACACATCCACATGTGAATGCTCACAGCACCATTACTCATAACCACCAAAATGTAAGAACAACCCGAGTCCATCAAAGGATGAACAGCGAAGCAAAACGCAGTTGATCCCTGCAATGGAAAGTTATGTGGCAACACAAAGGAACAAAGCGTGGACACACGCAACAACACAGATGAACTTTGAAAACGTGCTCAGTGAGAGAAACAAGTCACCAAACACTGTACGCATGGATGTATATGGCTGCATGCACTGTGCGATTCTATTCCCATGAAACGTCCAGAACAGGCAAATGCAAAGAGACAGAAAGCAGATTCGTGGTTATCAGGGGCTGGAGAGAGGAGAGAAGAGGGAGTGACTGCAGTGAGTATGGAGCTTCCTTTTGGGGTGATGAAAATGTTCTGAAATTGGATATTGGTGATGGTTGCACAGCTGTATGAATCTACCAAAAAATGCTGAATAGTATCCTTAAAATGGGTGAATTTCATGTGATACAAATGTTGATAAAAATAAATACCTATTTTTTAAAAAGTGACTTAGGCAGGAAACAGAACAGAGTAGTCATGAACAGGAAGTGCAAACTACAGCTCCTGGGGCAAATCTAGCCCCCTATTTCTATAAATAAAGTTTTATTAGAACATAGCCATGCCCATTCATTTCCACATCATCTAAGGCTGCTGTAGTGGGACAATGGCAGAGCTGAGTTGCCACAGACACCATGTGGCCAGGAAAGCCCACAATATTTACATCCAGCCCTCCACAGAAGTTTGCCACCCCCTGCCTAGGAGGGTAAACTCTGGGGCCAGGCTCGGCTGCATATTAGCTCCACATCTGTTCTGTGTGTGTGCACACTCTGGCGAGCGTGTGGGTTCTCTGTGTGTGCACACTCGGGTGAGCGTGTGGGTTCTCTGTGTGTGTGCACACTCTGGCGAGCGTGTGGGTTCTCTGTGTGTGCACACTCGGGTGAGCGTGTGGGTTCTGTGTGTGCACACTCGGGTGAGCGTGTGGGTTCTCTGTGTGTGCACACTCGGGTGAGCGTGTGGGTTCTGTGTGTGCACACTCGGGTGAGCGTGTGGGTTCTCTGTGTGTGCACACTCGGGTGAGCGTGTGGGTTCTGTGTGTGCACACTCGGGTGAGCGTGTGGGTTCTCTGTGTGTGCACACTCGGGTGAGCGTGTGGGTTCTGTGTGTGCACACTCGGGTGAGCGTGTGGGTTCTCTGTGTGTGTGCACACTCTGGCGAGCGTGTGGGTTCTCTGTGTGCACACTCTGGCGAGCGTGTGGGTTCTCTGTGTGTGCACACTCGGGTGAGCGTGTGGGTTCTCTGTGTGTGTGCACACTCTGGCGAGCGTGTGGGTTCTGTGTGTGCACACTCGGGTGAGCGTGTGGGTGTGTTCATTCTCTATGCATCGTCCAGTCGCCATACGGGAAATGAGCTAGGGTGTGTGAAGTGCCCGTAGGAATGCCTGGCCGCAAGGTGGACTCAAACTTTGCTCATTCTGCTCCCAAGAACAGCTTATACTCCCCATAAACCCTGCAGACAGGATCCCATCACCTTCTGCACCCACCCTTTCCTCAGCTTCCCTCTGCTTAGAGAAAAAAGGTGAATCCCATGCTGACAGGCAGGGACCTGTACACCCTGAATCTCACCCCACTCCATGCTTCAGTCTCCTCCAGAATAAAAGGACCTTCCCTGCCTGGCACACTGGCTCTAAGGTCTGGACCAGGAAGCAAAACCTGCCCCGAAAGCCGGAGCAGGAGGCATGGCCCCAGCCAGCCTCTCCTAGCCTCTCATCATGGCTGAGAATGTTGGCTTCCCCAAGATGTGCTGCACCAAGGACCAGCGCTGTGACCAGCAGGGTCTGGCTCCAGGGTCCGCCACAGCTCTGAGCACACAGACCCTGCTGCAGGGGCCCCTGAGCGCCAGGCTCGATTCTACCCAGGGCTTGGGGCCCACCTCACAGGTGGGTTCTGCCTCTTCAGCACCTCCGCCAGCAGCACCTTCACCTCCCTGACTGAAGCTGCCCTCTAGGGGACCTGCAGGGTTGGATGCCAGAGGAGTGGGGAACACAGAGAGGCCAGGTTCAGAGGAGAGGGACAATCCAGCATGGGCTGCAGAGGACAAACAGGCAGGGGGACGTCCTCACCCTCAGAGTCCAGGGCCTGGATCTTCAGCTCCAGGGGGGAGTCCTCCAGGTTGAGCTTGCGGGTGGTGGAGACGATCTGGATGCCGGGGATGAGGTCCACGGTGGCGTCACAGTGCAGGACCTGGTCTGTGGCTGGAGGAACCCCAGGGAGAAGTCAGCACTGAAGACAGCAGCTGCCCCTGGCGCCACCTCCAAGCCTTGCAGACTTACACTTTGGCAAAGACCACAGCGACCACCAGCCTCACCCTCAGAAGCCAAGCAGCTGCCTCGCACGTGGCCCCACTGAAAGTTAACAGGGACTACCAGAAAGGAAGGGCTGTGGGGGCCTTGTCACCACCTGGTCTGGCTTTTCCAGCGGGGAATCAGCATTTAAAGCTGTGGGCAAAGAAAACTCCAGGAAAACTTCATTTTGTTCAGGGTGTAACCATTCAGTGAAGTGACAAGTGCTACAATATGGATGAGTTCCCGTCCCAAAGATGAGAGCCCTGTCCCTCCACTGAGATTAGGAATTACACTGGTGATTTTGTTTATTTTTGTTTCTTTTGCGACAGGGTCTCAATTTGTTGCCCAGGCTGGAGTGCAGTGGCTCCCGGAGTCAACTGATTCTCCTGCCTTGGCCTCCCTAGTATCTGGGACCACAAGCATGCATACATCACCATGCCTGGCTAATTTTTAAAAACTTTTTTATAGAGTTAAGGTCTTGCTTTGTGGCATAGGCTGGTCTTATACTCCTAAGCTCAAGTAATCCTCCTGCCTTGGCCTCCCAAAGTGCTAGGATTACAGGTGTGAGACATTGCGCCTGGCCTATGATGGTGTATTTATATGATTATCAAGTATAATGTAGAAGGGGCACATGGACACTCATACAGATGGTTTTTACTTGCTCCATAAAAAAGGTACATGAATGGCATTACCCGGGGAATTCTCAAATGTAAGGATAGCAGCAGGATACAACATTTTTCTGACTCTTCTCCAGGTACTTATGCATTGTTAAGATTGTTTTGTTGGAAAGCAATAAGTCCCATGTATCAAAAGCCTTACAAATAGGCTGAGCGAGGTGGCTTATGCCTGTAAGGGCAGTCAGCCCTTACTGATGTCCTCTGCAAAGATGATGCTGGTGAGTCGGGCAGGCTGGGTCAGGTGGGCCTGCACCACCGCCTTCTGGGAGCACTGCTGCTCGTCCAGGCCCAGCGACTCGATGCTGGCCACCTCCGGCCGGGTGGACAACCTGCAGTGGAAGAAGACAGCATTTACTCTCTGGAGCTGCACTGCAAGGCACAGTGGGGTCCAGACACCAGGCTGTAGCTCCCGTCTAGGGCACAGTGCTGGACCCAAAGACAGAAGTGAGGTGGGCCGCCTAACACCAGCTTCAAACCCAGAGGAGACGTGGGGCCCTGCCGAGGCCTCTCCAGTTAAGACCTCCACAAGGTGAGGGCTCCAGGCCTGTGCACACAGTTCCCATGGAGCAAATCAAACAGGAGACCTCACACCTGGAAATGACCTCAAGGCTCAACAGATGGCCACCGTCCAAGACTCCTGCAGATGTGGGAGTCGTTCAGTACCAGCAGGAAAGCTGCTCAAGGGATCCCGTGAGGGGACACGTGGCACAGGGAGGGGGCACAGGCATCTTGGCCGACCTCTAACCCAGGCCAGGCACACAGCAAGCTCCAGGTGTCCGCTTCCAACCCCAACAGGTTCTACTAATCCTGGAAATCACTGCCTGTAATGAGAGCACGAGCTCTCAGCACCTGCGGAGCACACATTATAGCTATGGTGGGGACACAGGCAAATAAACACATCCGCAAATGAGCCTGGACAGTCTGTGAGCCAATTTCCCTAGTGGGGATTACAGGAGGAAGCGAAGTGTGTGTATGCGTGTGTGTTTGGGGTGGTGGGGGCGGGTAGCTATCTGGTGTCAGTGCCTTGATTTCTTAGGCATGGACTGGGATAACAGCCCCAGGCCCAGATGAGAGGGGGATGAGCGGCAGAGGACAGCAGACTCCACACTGAGCGTTCCCAGCTAGTACATGCTGTCTGCAGATGGGCACTCAGGCCTGGCGCAAAGGTGGAGTATGAAGCCTCCCAGGGAATGCAGGACCTGGGGTGAGGCAGGGCCATAGGAAGCGGCCGGCCCTGCTGCACTCAGCTTACAGTGTGACCAAGGCCCCAGGAGGAGCCACTGAGCAGTGCCTGGTGCTTGTCTCTCGGGCCGCACCCAGCATAGCACCTGACACAGAGCAGACACTCCAGGGTTTCCTCATCCTCCTCAACTTTGCCTAAATTCACTGGCACATACACAGCCTGGGGTATTCTGAAGGAGACTTTTCAGAAACTGCCTGGTGTCAAAAAGCAATGGTGTGGAACACAACCAGACAGACGTTCCACCTTCTGGCTGGATGCCAAGTGTCTCTCCAGGCCAGGCTGGCACAGGGGGCCAGCCCTCCAACACACCTGAGCACGCCGACTACTCCAACACCGCCCGGCCACGCGTGGCCTGCAGACGGACCTTATAGCCTGGACCACCTCTACTGGAAGTTCATGGAAAATCAGTGAAGGAAAGCAATCTATGCCCAGAGAAGTGCGTCTGTGGCCCCTCGTGGATTTCTTCCAAGAAAATAGCACGGCACAGACTCCCAGAAGACAGCAAAGCAGGCACAAGCGCACACGGGAGACGGGAAGCAGGTGCCTGTGAACACGGCCCATACCCGCTGGAAACACTGTGTCCAACTGTTGGCAGTACCAGAGCCCTGTGGTGTTTTTTGTAGGGCGTTAAACTTCCCACACACAAGCACACAAAACAGAATGTGGAAACAAGGACAAATTAGAAAAGTCACATGCGGCAGAGGAGACTAACGAGGCTCGACAAATCCATAAAACGCAGGGTCCTGGATTCCATCTGGGGACAGAAAAAGGACCTTCGTGGAAAAACCGGTGAAGCTGAAATCGTCTAGAGTTTAGTGCGTAGTCAGGTACCAATGGTAACCTCTTACTGTGACAAATACACCTGGTTACCTGCGATGCCGGTATTAGGGGAGGCTGCCTGATGGTTTACAGGAACCCTTCCATATTAGCTCTGAAATTGTCCCATAAATCTAAAATTATCCCAAAATTTACAATTAAAAAAAGAAAGACTGGGGGAGAGAGGGCTGAACAGGCAGAGCACAGAGGACTTATAGGGCAGTGACACTATTCTGTGTGATGCTGTAATGGTGGCTAAGGGTCATTATGAATCTGTCCAAACCCACAGACTGTGCAACAGCAAGAGTGAGCCCGCGTGGAAACTGGGGACTCTGGGTGATACTGAGGTGTCCTGCAGGCTTCCAGAGCGTAACAGGTGCACACTCTGGTGGGGAGGTTCATGATGTGGCGGGGGCGGGGGCAAATATGCATTTCTTTAATGCAAAAGATTACATTTTCATTATAACAACAACTTCCTCTAGCCAAAGTCCCTAAATATTCCCAAGACAGAGCACCTAATTTAAGATGGGGATACAATTCAGCTGTGAATCCATCTGGTCCTGGACTTTTTTCGGTTGGTAGGCTATTAATTATTGCCTCAATTTCAGAGCCTGTTATTGTTCTATTCGGGGATTCAACTTCTTCCTGGTTTAATCTTGGGAGGGTGTATGTGTCCAGGAATTTATCCATTTCTTCTAGATTTTCAAGTTTATTTGTGTAGAGGTGTTTATAGTATTCCCTGACAGTAGTTTGTATTTCTGTGGGATCGGTGGTGATACCCCTTTATCATTTTTTATTGCATCTATTTGATTCTTCTCTCTTTTCTTCTTTATTAATCTTGCTAACAGTCTATTTTGTTGATCTTTTCAAAAAACCAGCTCCTGGATTCATTGATTTTTGAAGGGCTTTTTGTGTCTCTATCTCCTTCAGTTCCTCCCTGATCTTAGTTATTTCTTGCCTTCTGCTAGCTTTTGAATGTGTTTGCTCTTGCTTCTCTAGTTCTTTTAATTGTGATGTTAGGGTGTCAATTTTAGACCTTTCCTGCTTTCTCTTGTGGGCATTTAGTGCTATAAATGTCCCTCTACACACTGCTTTAAATGTGTCCCAGAGATTCTGGTACATTATGTCTTTGTTCTCATTGGTTTCAAAGAACATCTTTATTTCTGCCTTCATTTTGTTATGTACCTAGTAGTCATTCAGGAGCAGGTTGTTCAGTTTCCATGTAGTTGTACGGTTTTGAGTGAGTTTCTTAATCCTGAGTTCTAATTTGATTGCACTGTGGTCTGAGAGACAGTTTATTGTGATTTCTGTTCTTTTATATTTGCTGAGGAGTGCTTTACTTCCAACTATGTGCTCAATTTTGGAGTAAGTGTGATGTAGTGCTGAGAAGAATGTATATTCTGTTGATTTGGGGTGGAGAGTTCTGTAGATATCTATTAGGTCTGCTTGGTGAGAGCTGAGTTCAAGTCGTGGATATCCTTGTTAACTTTCTGTCTCATTGATCTGTCTAATGTTGACAGTGGGGTGTTAAAGTCTCCCATTATTATTGTATGGGAGTCTAAGTCTCTTTGTAGGTCTCTAAGGACTTGCTTTATGAATCTGGGTGCTCCTGTATTGGGTGCATATATATTTAGGATAGTTAGCTCTTCCTGTTGAATTGATCCCTTTACCATTATGCAATGGCCTTCTGTGTCTCTTTTGATCTTTGTTGGTTTAAAGTCTGTTTTATCAGAGACTAGGATTGCAATCCCTGCTTTTTTTTTTGTTTTCCATTTGCCTGGTAGATCTTCCTCCATCCCTTTCTTTTGAGCCTATGTGTGTCTCTGCACGTGAGATGGGTCTCCTGAATACAGCACACTGATGGGTCTTGACTCTTTATCCAACTTGCCAGTCTGTGTCTTTTAATTGGGGCATTTAGTCCATTTACATTCAAGGTTAATATTGTTATGTGTGAATTAGATCCTGTCATTATGATGTTAGCTGGTTATTTTGCTCGTTAGTTGATGTAGTTTCTTCCTAGCATTGATGGTCTTTACAATTTGGCATGTTTTTGCAGTGGCTGATACCAATTGTTCCTTTCCATGTTTAGTGCTTCCTTCAGGAGCTCCTGTAAGGCAGGCCTGGTGGTGACAAAATCTCTCAGCATTTGCTTGTCTGTAAAGGATTTTATTTCTCCTTCACTTATGAAGCTTAGTTTGGCTGGATATGAAATTCTGGGTTGAAAATTCTTTTCTTTAAGAATGTTGAATATCAGCCCCCACTCTCTTCTGGTTTGTAGAGTTTCTGCTGAGAGATCCCACTCTCTTCTGGCTTGTAGAGTTTCTGCTGTTAGTCTGATGGGCTTCCCTTTGCTGGAAACTGACCTTTCTCTCTGGCTGCCCTTAACATTTTTTCCTTCATTTCAACCTTGGTGAATCCGACAATTATGTGTTTGGGGTTGCTCTTCTCGAGGAGTATCTTTGTGGTGTTCTCTGTATTTCCTGAATTTGAATGTTGGCCTGCCTTGCTAGGTTGGGGAAGTTCTCCTGGATAATATCCTGAAGAGTGTTTTCCAGCTTGGTTCCATTCTCCCTGTCACTTTCAGGTACACCAATCAGATGTAGATTTGGTCTTTTCACATAGTCCCACATTTCTTGGAGGCTTTGTTTGTTTCTTTTTACTCTTTTCTCTCTAAACTTCTCTTCTTGCTTCATTCATTCATTTGATCTTCAATCACTGATACCCTTTCTTCCACTTGATCAAATCGGCTACTGAAGCTTGTGCATGTGTCACGTAGTTCTCGTGACATGGTTTTCAGCTCCATCAGGTCATTTAAGGCCTTCTCTATGCTGTTTATTCTAGTTAGCCATTCTTCTAGTCTTTTTTCAAGGTTTTTAGCTTCCTTGCAATGGGTTCAACATCCTCCTTTAGCTTGGAGAAGTTTGTTATTACCGACCTTCTGAAGCCTACTTCTGTCAACTCGTCAAAGTCATTCTCCGTCCAGCTTTGTTCTGTTGCTGGCGAGGAGCTGCGATCCTTTGGAGGAGAAGAGGCGCTCTGGGGTTTTTAGAATTTTCAGCTTTTCTGTTCTGATTTCTCCCTATCTTTGTGGTTTTATCTACCTTTGGTCTTTGATGATGGTGACCTGCAGATAGGGTTTTGGTGTGTATGTCCTTTTGTTGCTGTTGATGCTATTCCTTTCTGTTTGTTAGTTTTCCTTCTAACAGTGAGGTCCCTCAGCTGCGGGTCTGTTGGAGTTTGCTGGAGGTCCACTCCAGACATTGTTTTCCTGGGTATCACCAGTGGAGGCTGCAGAACAGCAAATATTGCAGAACAGCAAATGTTGCCGCCTGATCCTTCCTCTGGAAGCTTCGTCTCTCAGGGGCACCCAGCTTTATGAGGTGTCAGTTGGCCCCTACTGGGAGTCACGGCCAAATTCTACCAGAGGTACAAAGAGGAGCTGGTACCATTCCTTCTGAAACTATTCCAATCAATAGAAAAAGAAGGAGTCCTCCCTAACTCATTTTATGAGGTCAACATCATCCTGATACCAAAGCCTGGCAGAAACACAACAACAACAAAAAGAGAATTTTAGACCAATATCCCTGATGAACATCAATGCAAAAATCCTCACTAAAATACTGGCAAACCGAATCCAGCAGCACATCAAAAAAGCTTATCCACCACGATCAAGTTGGCTTCATCCTTGGGATGCAAACCTGGTTCAACATACACAAATCAATAAATGTAATCCATGATATAAACAGAACCAAAGACAAAAACCACATGATTATCTCAATAGATGCAGAAAAGGCCTTTGACAAAATTCAACAGCCCTTCATGCTAAAAACTCTCCATAAACTAGGTGTGGATGGGACGTATCTCAAAATAATAAGAGCTATCTATGACAAACCCACAGACAATACATACTGACTGAGCAAAAACTGGAAGCATTCCCTTTGAAAACTGGTACAAGACAGGGATGTCCTCTCTCACCACTCCTATTCAACACAGTATTGGAAGTTCTGGCCAGGGCAATCAGGCAGGAGAAGGAAGTAAAGGGTATTCAATTAGGAATTCCTAATTCAATAGGAAAAGAGGAAGTCAATTTATCCCTCTTTGCAGATGACATGATTGTATATTTAGAAAACCCCATCGTCTCAGCCCAAAATCTCCTTAAGTTTATAAGCAACTTCAGCAAAATCTCAGGATACAAAATCAATGTGCAAAACTCCCAAGCATTCCTATAGACCCATAACAGACAAACAGAGAGCCAAATCATGAGTGAACTCCCATTCACAATTGCTACAAAAAGAATAAAATACCTAGGAATCCAACTTACACGGGATGTGAAGGACCTCTTCAAGGAGAACTACAAACCAGTGCTCAATGAAATAAAAGACGACACAAACAAATGGAAGAACATTCCATGCTCATGGGTAGGAAGAATCAATATCGTGAAAATGACCATACTGCCCAAGGTAATTTATAGACTCAATGCCATCCCCATCAAGCTATGAATGACTTTCTTCACAGAATTCGAAAAAACTACTTTAAAGTTCATATAGAACCAAAAAAGAGCCTGCATTGCCAAGACAATCCTAAGCAAAAAGAACAAAGCTAGAGGCATCATGCTACCTGACTTCAAACTATACTACAAGGCTACAGTAACCAAAACAGCATGGTACTGGTACCAAAACAGAGATATAGACCAATGGAACTGAACAGAGACCTCAGAAATAATACCACACATCTACAACCATCCGATCTTTGACAAACCTGACAAAAACAAGAAATGGGGAAAGATTCCCTATTTAATAAATGATGCTCAAAAACTGGCTAGCCATATGTAGAAAGCTGAAACTGGATCCCTTCCTTACATCTTGGAAAAAAATTAATTCAACATGGATTAAAGACTTAAATGTTAGACCTAAATCCGTAAAAACCCTAGAAGAAAACCTAGGCAATACCATTCAGGACACAGGCATGGGAAAGGACTTCATGACTAAAATACCAAAAGCAATGGCAACAAAAACCAAAATAGACAAATGGGATCTAATTAAACCAAAGAGCTTCTGCACAGCAAAAGAAACTACCATCAGAGTGAACAGTCAACCTACAGAATGGGAGACAATTTTTGCAATCTACCCATCTGACAAAGGGCTAATATCCAGAATCTACAAAGAACTTAAACAAATTTACAAGAAAAAATCAACCCCATCAAAAAGTGGGCGAAGGATATGAACAGACCTTCTCAAAAGAAGACATTTACGCAGCCAACAGACACATGAAAAAATGCTCATCATCACTGGCCATCAGAGAATGCAAATCAAAACCACAGTGAGATACCATCTCACACCAGTTAGAATGGTAATCATTAAAAAGTCAGGAAATAACAGGTGCTGGAGAGGATGTGGAGAAATAGGAACAATTTTACACTGTTGGTGGGAGTGTAAACTAGTTCAACCATTGTGGAAGACAGTGTGGCGATTCCTCAAGGATCTAGAACTAGAAATACCATTTGACCCAGGGATCCCATTACTGGGTATATACCCAAAGGATTATAAATCATGCTACTATAAAGACACATGAACATGTATGTTTATTGTGGCACTATTCTCAATAGCAAAGACTTGGAACCAACCCAAATGTCCATCAATGATAGACTGGATTAAGAAAATGTGGCACATATAGACCATGGAATACTATGCCACCATAAAAAATGATGAGTTCATGTCCTTTGTAGGGACATGGATGAAGCTGGAAACCATCATTCTCATCAAACTATTGCAAGGGCAGAAAACCAAACACCGCATGTTCTCACTCATACGTGGGAATTGAACAATGAGAACACTTGGACATAGGGTGGGGAACATCACACACCAGGGCCTGTCGTGGGGTGGGGGAAGGGGGGAGGGGTAGCATTAGGAGAAATACCTAATGTAAATGACGAGTTAACAGGTGCAGCACACCAACATGGCACATGTATACATATGTAACAAACCTGCACATTGTGCACATGTACCCTAGAACTTAAAGTATAAAAAAAAAAAAGATGGGGATACAAGTCACACATCAAGACCCTTAGCTGGTTTCTATTTAGGGATGATCTATTAGGCAAATCAAGGCATTAACGTCTAGTATAGAAAACTATGAGCTTAGGGGCCAGAATGATCTGGCTTCAAACCCCAGCTCCAGCATTTATTAACTGTGTGACTTTGGGCAAGTCACTTGCCCTCCCTGGGTCTTAGTTTCCTCCTTTATTAAATGTAGTATTAATATGAAACTTGGGCTCTTACAGAAACTATACCTAATAAATATACAATAAATGGTGGCTGATCAACAGAAATAATTGGGATCCATGTGGTCCAGGCAATTTCAAACACATGAAACTCATTCTGCGAACAGTACAAATGTAAAGTAAAAGGGAACTACTGATAATCAAGTACCTCAAGAGAGAATTCAATGTACTGCTGGGATACCAAAAAGGGAGTAAAATAGTCAAGAAAATAATTAGAAAAAACCAGTCAACCAGTGTGTGGCAGGAATAAGGACCTAAAGTCTAATCTGAACTTTGCTACTAAGGAGATTACTCCAAGGCCTAAGAGAGTTTTGACTCACTGTTTCCTATTTTTTTTTTCTTTGTAAAATGCAGAGAATAAAGCTGGGTTTCTGTTAAACTCATTTGGATGTCACAAACCTTCATGGATACCCATCTTTCCAGTACCTTGTTCATCTGGCCTCTATGAGATGGCGTAGGGTCACATTCTGAATTTTTCTCTTCTGAAAGTGTGTCAGAGGAGGATGTCTTGCTGCCATCTGTTTTTTGGTTCCTTTCTTTTATATTAAAAAGAGAAAAGTGACTCAAGTAATTAATAATCATGTTTGCCAAATATCATTGCCCTCAGAAAACAACCTGTTGGAAACTGCTTAGCAGTAGAAGAGGTAATTTTATAACCCTAAATTACAGTGTATTTATAAATCTAATAAAGAAAGGGTTCAGTTATACAATTGCTCCAATTACTGATGCCATGATACACATAACTTTTAGGTTAATTCAATGCAGTTCATTTGGAGACAGAAGACAAGAGGAAAATAACATACTTGCTTATTTTTCCTCTCTTTCTGATTTTTGCTGAAATAGCAGTAACAGTATGAAGTGTTATATCTAAAGTTTCCACATCGAAGTTTCCAAGAGGAGGGACATAGTCTGGGGCGACTGAAACAAACAGCAGGCTGAAGCTCAATGTGTACCAATTACACACCACCATTAGACTTGAAATTCAATCACTCAATTGGCTAAAAACTGGTTTCCAAAATTACCAAGTGTGGCTGAATGCTTATAAGACATATTCAAGTCGCCAGGCGCAGTGGCCCACACCTGTAATCCCAGCACTTTGGGAGGCCGAGGCAGGTGGATCACAAGGTCAGGAGATCGAGACCATCCTGGCTAACACAGTGAAACCCCGTCTCTACTAAAAATAAAAAATAAAAGTAAAAAAAAAAAAGATTAGCCAGGCATGGTGGCAGTCGCCTGTAGTCCCAGCTACTCGAGAGGCTGAGGCAGGAGAATGGTGTGAACCCGGGAGGCGAAGCTTGAAGTGAGCCAAGATCGTGCCACTGCATTCCAGCCTGGGCAACAGAGTGAGACTCTGTCTCAAAAGAGAGAGAGAGAGAAAAAAAAGACATATTCGAGCCATCTGACATTGTTTTGCCATAGCAAAATGGCCAGAGATAACATAGAAATATCATATTAAGTATGATCAATTATCATAAAACCACTGTAAATAATCATATATAACTAACACACAGATAAGGACTAAAACAGACATTTAAAATCTAAATTGTGTCTAGGCGGGGTGGCTCACACCTGTAATCCCAAGCACTTTGGGAGGTCGAAGCACGTGGATCACCTGAGGTCAGGAGTTCGAGACCAGCCTGGCCAACACGGTGAAACCCTGCCTCTACCAGAAATACAAAAATTAGCCAAGTGCGGTGGCAGGCATCTGTAATGCCAGCTACTAGGTAGGCTGAGGCAGGAGAATTGCTTGAACCTGGGAGGCAGAGGTTGTAGTGAGCAGAGATTGCACCACCGCACTCCAGCCTGGGCGACAAAGCAAGACCCTGTCTCGAAAAAAAAAAAAAAAAAAAGGAAAGGTGTATATATTTATGGAGTATATGAGATATTTTGATACAGGCACACAATGCATAATAATCACATCGGTAAATGGGGTATCCATCACCTCAAGCATTTATCCTTTGTGTTACAAACAATATAATTATGCTATTTTAGTTATTTTAAAATGTACAGTAAGTTATTGTTGACTGTAGTCACCCTGTTGTGCTATCAAAAACTAGGTCTTGGCTGGGTGCGCTGGCTCATGCCTGTAATCCCAGCACTTTGGGAGGTTGAGGCAGGTGGCTCACTGGAGGTCAGGAGTTCGAGACCAGCCTGGCCAGCATGGTGAAATCCCATCTCTACTAAAAGTACAAAAATTAGCCAGATGTGGTGGTGCAGCCTCCAGTCCCAGCTACTCGGGAGGCTGAGGCAGGAGAATTGCTTGAACCTGGGGAGCGAAAGTTGCAGTAAGCCGAGATTGTGCCACTGCACTCCAGCCTGGGTGACAGAGCGAGACTCCATCTCAAAAAAACAAAAACAACTAGATCTTATTCATTCTATCTAACTATACTTTTGAACCCATTAACCACCCCCATTTCTCCCAGTCCCCCAACCACCATTACCCTCCCCAGCCTCTGGTAACCATCCTTCTACTCTATATTCGTGAGTTATATTGTTTTAATTTTCAGCTCCCGCAAATATGTGAAAATATGTTGTGCCTGGCCTATTTCACTTAACATAATGTCCTCCAGTTCCATCTGTATTGTTGCAAACAACAGGATCTCATTCTTTTTTATGGCTGAATAGTACTCCATTGTGTATATGGACCACATTTTATCCATTCACCCGCTGATGGGCACATAGGTTGCTTCCAAATCTTGACTATTGTGAATAGTGCTGCAATAAACATGGGAGTGCAGATATCTCCTTGGTATACTGATTTCCTTTCTTTGGGTATATACCTACCAGTGGCATTGGATCATATGGTGGTTCTATTTTTCATTTTTTGAGGAACATCCTAACTGTTCTCCACAGTGTTTGTACTAATTGACATTCCCACCAACAGTGTACAAAGGTTCTCTTTTCTCCATATTCTCACCAGCATCTGTTATTGCCTGTCTTTTGGATAAAAGCCATCTTAACTAGGGTGAGATGACATCACATGGCAGTTTTGATTTGCATTTCTCTGATGCTCAGTGATGTTGAGCACCTTTTCATATATCCACCGTTTGTATGTCTTCTTTTGAGAAATGTCTATTCAGACCTTTTACCCATTTTTCAATCCGAATAAAATTTTTTTCCTGTCCTTATATATTCCAGTTATTAATCCCTTGTCAGATACGTAGTTTGCAAATATTTTCTCCCATTCTGTGGGTTGTCTCTTCACTTTGGTGTTTCCTTTGCTATGCAGACGAAGGAAACTTAACTTTTTAACTTAACGTGATCCCATTTGTCCATTTTTTGCTTTGGTTGCCTGTGCTTGTAGGATATTCCTCAAGAAATCTTTGCCCACTCTAATGTCCTGCCCACTCTAATGTCCTGAAGAGTTTTCTGAATGTTTTTTGTTATTGTTGTTAGTAGTTTCATAATTTGAAGTCTTAGATTTAAGTCCATAATCCATTTTGATTTTTGTATATGGCAAGAGATAGGGGTCTAGTTTCATTCTTCTGCATATGGATATCCAGTTTTCCCCACACCATTTATTGAAGAAAGCAACTTTCCCCAATGTATATTCTTGGCACCTTTGCTGAGAATGAGTTCATTGTAGGTGTGTGGATTTATTTCTGGGCTCTCTTCTGTTCCATTGGTCTATGCATCTGTTTTTATGCCAGCACCATGCTGTTTTGGTTACTATAGCTCTGTAGTATAATTTGAAGTCAGGTAATGTGATCCCTCCAGTTTCATTCATTTTACTCAGGACAGCTTTGGCTATTCTGGGTCTTCTGTGGTTCTGTATAAATTTTAAGTTTTTTTCTATTTCTGTGAAGAATGTCATTGGTATTTTGATGGGGATTGCCCTTGAATCTGTAGATTGCATTGGGTAGTATGGAAATCTTAATAATAATTCATCTGATCCATAAACATGAAGTATCTTTCCTTTTTTTGTGTGCCCTTCAATTTCTTGCATCAATGTTTCAGAGTTTTCATTGTAGAGATCTTTCACTTCTTTGGTTAAGTTTATTCCTAGATATTTTATTTGTAACTATTGTTTATTTTATTTGCAGCTATTGTAAGTGGATTACTTTCTTGATTTCTTTTTCAGATTGTTAGTTGTTGGCATACAGAAATGCTACTCGTTTTTATATGAGGACTTTGTATCTTGCAACTTTACTGAGTTTATCTAATAGTTTTTTGGTGGAGTCTTTAGGCTTTTCCAAATATCAGATCATGTCATCTGCAAACAAGGATAATTTAACATCTTCCTTTCCAATTTGGATGCCCTTTCTTTCTCTTGTCTAATTGTTCTAGCTAGGACTTTCAACACTATGTTGTATAATAGTGGTATTATATAAGTGGGTATCCTTTCTAGTTCCAGATCTTAGAGGAAAGCCTTTCAGTTTTTCTCTGTTCCATTTAATAGTAGCTATGGGTCTGTCATATATGGTTTTTAGAGTGTTGAGGTGTGTTCCTTCTATACCCAGTTTTGATGAAGGGATGTTGAGTTTTATTAAAAAAAATTTAGCATCAATTTAAATATCATGTGGTTTTTGTCCTTCATTTTGCTGATATGATGTATCACATTGATTAACGTATGTTGAACAATCCTTGCATCCCTAGGATAAATCATCCCATTTGGTCATGAGGAATAATTTTTTTTTTTTTTTTGAGATAGGAATCTCGCTCTGTCGCCCAGGCTGGAGTTCAGTGGTGCGATCTTGGCTCACCGCAACCTCTGCCTCCCAGGTTCAAGTGATTCTCCTGTCTCAGCCTCCTGAGTAGCTGGGACTACAGCCGCGTGCCACAATGCCCAGCTAATTTTTGTGTTTTTAGTACAGACGGGGTTTCACCATGTTGGCCAGGCTGGTCTCAAACTCCTGATCTCAAGTGATCCATCCGCCTTGGCCTCCCAAAGTGCTGGGATTATAGGTGTGAGCCACTGCGCCCGGCTAATCTTTTTAATGTGTTGCTGAATTAGGTTTGCTAGTATTTTGTTAAGATTTTTGTATCAATGTTCATCAGGGATATTGGCTTCTATTTTCTTTTTTTGATGTGTCTTTGTCTGGTTCTGGTTATCAGGGAAAGCTGAGTGCTTTATCACCTCACTACTGTCCTAGTAGGACTACCAGTATAGGACACTTCCCTCATCTGTCAAGTACTTTTCCAGGATTATTTGCAGTTCTACAATGTGCTTTAACCGGGTGAGCACCTTCCCCTTCATCTCAGGTGATGTTTCATGGCAGAAGGCATTCACAATCTGCAAAGTACAATTACATTCTCATACTTTCAAATGTTCAGATTTTAACCTTGTTTGTATTATTTATCCAGAGCTGAGAGATGTCTATGAACAGCAGGATCTTTAAGTTTAGTCTATAATAGAAGTGTCCTCAGCAAGGTGGTGTAGAGAAAAAAAATCTCTGGGCCAAAATATAGGAGATTCAGCCAGGCACAGTGGCTCACGCCTGTAATCCTAGCACTTTGGGAGGCTGAGGCAGGAGGATCACTTGAGGCCAGGAGTTTGAGACCAGTCTGGCCAATATGGAGAAAGCCCATCTTTACCAAAAATATAAAAATTAACTGGGCATGGTGGCACATGTCTGTACTGCCAGCTACTGGACAGGCTGGGGCAGGAGAGAATTGCTTGAACCTGGGAGGCGGAGGTTACAGTGAGCCGAGATTGGGCCACTGCACTCTAGCCTGGGTGACAGAGCAAGACTCTGTCTCAAAGAAAAAGAAAAGAAAAAAATAGGAGATTTGACTTTTGATCCTAGTTTTGCTTATTACTAGTTATGTTACAAGGCGGAATAGCCAGAGAGCACATACTTTGGTGAAACAAGTTCTATACTGCTACTTACTGTGTGACCTTGGCTGAGTCTTTAATCTTTCTAAGTATTTCTACATAAAGAAATGAGTCCAGCACTTGGTACAGTGTAAGTACTTAAAGTTTTTTCATTGACTTTGAACTCCCTGTACTTGAAATTCAGTATGTGTAAAATGAGGACAATCCCTATCCTGCCCACATCATAATAGAGATGTGGTAATCAAATAAGCTCATTCAAGTGCACAAACATTCCTGAAATAATATGTGAGAGGAAGACAGTGAGGTAGAGATATAAGATGTTGCCATCATTGTCATTATCACCAAACACAAATACATTCTAATGGGAGGGAAACTACCACCACTCACTGAATCAAGACAGTAGGCATATGCCTGTGCCAGGACGAACAGTAGTTCCACAGTGAAGAAGGTGAGAAGGTCATTCTAGGCAGAAGGCAGCTTGGAGAAAATAAAGCATGGGCAATGTGAAGTGAATTCTAAGTATTCTCATTTGGCTACCTACGGAGGTTCATATAACTGGGGAGTGGTGGGACATAACAGCTAGAGAAGCACACGGGGGTTAGTGCTTGGTGAGGACTTCTAGGGAGTCTTCTGGGAACTAAGAAAATAGTTTTGAGAAAAACTATGCACAATAAGTGAAATATCCTATTAACTCTGCTCACCTCTCGGAACCAGCTGAGAATAAGAAATATGAGAGAACACATGAATGAACGCTCTTTAGCAGACATGGACTCCAACCTCTCTCCAGGCTCCAGGTCAGTTAGGAATATAGGACAATCTGAGAGAGAACAAACATTTCCAACTACCTTTAGTGCAAGCCAATAAAACCTGGAGGTTTCCTCTGGAGCTAGCTCTCCTTGCTACTTACTTTCCCCTTTAACTCATATTTGAAGGCCAAGATCTGATTAAAATATTTGCATATCATATAGCAATCAACAAATATAATTAGAAAGTTTTTGCAACAATTGATTTGTTAACATAATGGGATTCTGTTTGTACTATTTTGTCTTTGGAATTCCAATGATAAACTATTCTGCTGAAGTTAGAAAATTCCTCCCCATATATACCATGTACTGATCTGCCCTTTCCCTAAGTTTACCAAAGGAAGAGTATAAAGAAGAAAGGATCTGATGACTTCATCCCATACCTAGTAGACTGTCAATCTCCTCCAAGTTTCCATTATGCTGTCTCTCCACATAAAGTCTCAGTAACTGGAAATACGGAGCCAGGCACAGTGGAGATACCAATCTGAGAAGGAAAAATAAATTTCTAGACCACACTTCATAGGTGTATTACTCCACATACATAGGGAGATATTACTCCACATACACAGGGAGCACAACTTCTTTTTTTGAGACAGTCTTGCTCTGTCACCCAGGCTGGAGTGCAGTGGCACGATCTCGGCTCACTGCAACCTCTGCGTCCCAGGTTCAAGCGATTCTCCTGCCTCAGACTCCTGAGTAGCTGGGATTACAGGCGCATGCCACCATGCCCAGCTAATTTTTGTACTTTTAGTAGAGACAGGGTTTTCCCATGTTGGCCAGGCTGGTCTCAAATCCTGGCCTCAAGTGATCCACCCGCCTCAGCCTCCCAAAGTGCTGGCATTACAGGCATGAGCCACCATGCCCGGCCACCAACTTATTAAGAATTTTCCTCAAAACAAATGTCTACTTTTAAGAAAAAAATGGCAAGGAACTTAATGGATGCTCCATTAAGAAAATAAATATAATGAGCTGAATTGTAGGAAGGCAGAGGTATCAGGAGTGAAAGTCCACGTGTTAGGAGAACCAGAAATAAGATAGAAAGAGAAGGTAAGAGACACAGAGGTAGCAAAGGATGTTCAAGGGAGGGAAAAAATAAGGAACAGAAGAGAAAGTAGTCTTAGAATATCTGTTGGCTCACACAAGGCAATATAAATCTCAAGCCAAGGATCCAAGAAAAAACAAGGAATCTGCCCCATTCTCCCTAACCTCTCCAAATACCGTTTGTCCCGAGAGAAACTTTTTTGACTCAACTTCCCCACCAAGAACTGTGGAATTCCCCGTGAACATTCAGAACACTAACAGGTTTAGAAAAGAAAAACTATACTGACTTTTGGCCTGATTCCTGTGAGGTCACCAGACCCCCATCTTTTGCAAAGTCCTGAGAAAACAGCAGCGGCAGGAGGTTTATGGCGATCCCATCCTGAGTGTCGTATTCTTCCAGTCCGTACAGTGCTTTCACAGGAAATGGAAAGTCACTGCAGAGAAAAACCAGAATCTGATGCTGCAGCTCAGGAATATGCAGGGCTACAGGGAAAACCACTAAAGCAAACCAATTTCAAACACAACATCATGGGGAGAAATTAGAAGAACAAACAGTGAACCTTTTAGGAATTTTGGAGCTAAGGGTGCAGGGGTGCTGGGGTTGGAAGGAAAGAAGCTGTGGGACTGGGCAGCCGTGGCTGAGGTGAAGGGTATTCTGAAGTTTGTATCAGCTACTGACAGAATTGATGTAACTTCACCAGTACAACCAAGCCAGCAGGTAAAAAATACCTACCCTTCCGGAACAACACAGGAGTCCACTACGAAGGCATCCTGGAAATCATTACAGATGGTATGCCCAACCCATTCCTTCAGGAAGCAAACAAACAAAAAGGGCAGTGCAGAGTGTACTTGCTGTACAGCCCTAGATAAATTACTCTTAACCTTTCTAAGTCTCAGTTCCCTCATTTCTAAAAAGAAAGTAATAATAAATATCTCACTATTGTGAAGTAGAAAAGAGAGAGTGCACGAAAAGCACTTATCACAAGGCCTAGCACAGAACAGGGCTCTCAGACAGATAATAGCCATCATCATTAACAAAGTCCATCTCTTCTTTACTATTATGATTGTTATTAAGTGAAGGAGGCCTCAGAGAAGAGCCGTGAGGCAGGGTAGGGCAGAAAAGCCTTTCCCAGTTAGAATTTAGGAGAGGTCACAGGATGATCTATTTTCACACTGCAACAGAAGACTTGAAGAGTGTAGTAAAGCAGCTCTCATGCTTTATTGCTTTAAGAAAAGACAATTGGCCTTTACCAGGGCTTTTGGATCCAGCTTTTCATGTTGGATCAGGTTGGCAAATTCATCATAGTAAAGTGCAGAGGCCTGAGGAGACTGCTCACTGCAGGAATGAACCAACTGCAACAAGGAGGTCACCTGGAGCAAAGAGGAAGAATGGTTTAAACCTTGGGCGGCCAATCTTTCCCAAACTCCACTCGCCCCATTCAAGACTGTTTTTTCACTTTCTGATTTTACTGGCAAAGCTCTATGTCTCACTTGAAGTTTTCCTGAATGTTCTGACCCGTCTGTCTCTTTCTGATATCATCCCTTTTCCAATCTGCCAGACACTGCAGCCAGATTAATTTTTCTAAAGTAAAGCTTCGATTTTGCCATTTCCATGCTAAGAAACCCTTAAGGAATACCTCTGCCTAAAGAATGAAATAAAAATGTATTGCTTTACATGCAAGGCTCTCTGTTTTCTCTCTCAACTAGCTTTTTCTTTTTTCCTTTTGAGATAGAGTCTCGCTCTGCCATCCAGGCTGAGTATAGTGGAGCGATCTTGGCTCACTGCAACCGCCGCTTCCCGGATTCAATAAATTCTCTTGCCCCAGCCTCCTGAGTAGCTGGGACTACAGGCGCCTGCCACCATGCATGGGTAATTTTTTTGTACTTTCATTAGAGATGAGATTTCACCCTGTTGGCCAGGCTGGTCTCAAACTCTTTACCTCAAGTGATCCTCCTGCCTCAGCCTCCCAAAGTGCTGGGATTACAGGCGTGAGCCACCGTGCCCTGCCTGAACTAGCTTTATGTCCCACTTTCCAGTTATACACTTATTTGTCCCCATGCTTCAACCAAAGTGTTATGCCATAAATATGGCATACCTTTCTTGCTAAGACTTTATAATTTAATTGGAGAGATTGAATGGATATAGAAATAAATGCAACCGGCCCGGGCATGGTGGCTCACATACGTAATCCCAGTGCTTTGGGAGGCTGAGGGGGGCGGATCACCTGAGATCAGGAGTCTGAGACCAGCCTGGGCAACATGGCGAAACCCCTACATGGTGAAACCCCGTCTCTACCAAAAACACAGAAATTAGCTGGGCGTGATGGTGCATGCCTGTGATCCCAGCTACTTGGAAGGCTGAGGCGGCAGAATCGCTTGAACCCGGGAGGCACCCCTGCACTCCAGCCTGGGTGGCAGAGTTGAGACTCCATCTCAAAAAAAAAAATGCAACCCAAGCCAGTAGTTTCCAAGTATCAGAAAACCACAAAGACAGGAGTTCAGTAAAACTTCTTTTTCTTCTTCTTCTTTTTTTTTTTTTTTTTTTTTTGCCTTTTCTTGAGATGGAGTCTCGCTTTGTTGCCCAGGCTGGAGTGCAGTGGCATGATCTCGGCTCACTGCAACCTCTGCCTCCCAAGTTCAAGCAATCCTCTGCCTCAGCCTCCCAAGTAGCTAGGATTACAGGTGGCTGCCACCACGCCTGGCTAACTTTTTTTTGTATATTTAGAGAAGAACTCACATGTGTGCACTGCTCATCACTCAGGTTGGCTACCTCTTGGGTCAAACTAGATGATCCACTTCTAAAAACAAAGAATTTTAATTTCACTTTTGTAATATTTTGTAACAATTTCCAATAAGTTTAAGAATTCTGACTTCCCTAGGGTAGGGTAAAGATAAAGGTACATGAAGGCAGAGAAGAGTATTTATTTTGTCCATACAAAATACAGATTAGAGCAAAAGATTGTTATACATATTTTTATTTTCTCTTTTTTCTTACTTTTTTTTTGAGTTTCGCTCTTGTTGCCCAGGCTGGAGTGCAATGGCGCAATCTCGGCTCACCGCAACCTCCATCTCCCAGGTTCAAGTGATTCTCCTGCCTCAGCCTCCCGAGTAGCTGGGATTACAGGCATGCGCCACCACACCCAACTAATTTTGTATTTTTAGTAGAGACAGGGTTTCTCCATGTTGGTCAGGCTGGTCCCAAACTCCCGACCTCAGGCGATCCGCCCACCTCGGCCTCACAAAGTGCTGGGATTACAGGTGTGAGCCACCGAGCCTGGCCTGCTCATTTCTCTTACAGTTGTGACGTCTACTGTTAAAATGATGTCTATGCGATGTAACACTGTTAGTTGGCAAGATTAACTGATCTTAAACCACAGAAGTCAGAATCTCCATGTGTACCTGTCTGCCACCATGATGCCAGCCATGGTGACAGCACCAAAAATCCCAATGAGTTTGTACTTGAATATGGTGCTAGAGAGCTGCTTTCTTATCACCAAGTGCATGTCATCCTGCAATGAGATAATGAAGAAAGATGGTAACGCTGGAATTGCACAGCAAAAGAAGGTATGGATATTGAGCCACACAGCCAGACTATAAAGGGTTCTATCATTTACTGTTTTTTGTTTGTTTGTTTGTTTGTTTGTTTGTTTGTTTTGAGACAGAGTTTAGCTCTTATTGTCCAGGCTAGAGTGCAATGGCGCAATCTCAGCTCACTGCAACCTCCACCTCCTGCGTTCAGGCAATTCTCCCTCAGCCTCCCAGGTAGCTGGGATTATAGGTGCCTGGCACCACACCTGGCTAACTTTGTATTTTTAGTAGAGACGGGGTTTCACTATGGTAGCCAGGCTGGTCTTGAACTCCTGACCTCAGGTGATCCACCCACCTTGGCCTTCCAAAGTGCTGGGATTACAGGTGTGAGCCACCACACCCAGCCCTGTGTGTCTTTAGCAAGTCATTTCATCTCTCCAAGTTTTAATTTTTACATCTGTGAAATGCGGAAAGTTGTTTTAAGGATTAGAGATAAATTATAAAAAACTTCTAGAACAGTGCCTGGCACATGATAGACATTCAATAATAATAGCTTTAATTGTTATTATTTCTATAAGGATATGAAAATTATCATAATGTTGATGACTGCTCAGCTAAAATAATGAATTAGAATAAAATACTTAGGTACAGATTTAAACATGGAGGCAAGGCTAACCGTGGTGGCTCATGCCTGTCACCCTAACACTTTGGGAGGCTGAGGCGGGTAGATTGCTTGAACCCAGGAGTTCAAGACCAGCCTGGGTAACATGGCAAAACCTCATCTCTATAGAAAATACAAAAATTAGCCAGCTGTGGTTGTGCATGCCTGTGGTCCCGGCTACGTGGAAGGCTGGGGTGAGAGGATCACCTGAGCCTGGGAAGTCAAGAATACAGTGAGCCAAGATCCCATCACTGTACTCTAGCCTGGGTGACAGAGCCAGACACTGTCTCGAAATAAAATAAAATAAAATAAAATAAAATAAAATAAAATAAAATAAACATTGCTGAAAAACTTTAAATACATAAGTAAATGGAAAGAGCTATTGTCTTGGTGGATTGGAAGACACTCAGTATTGTTAAGATGAAAATACCATTCAAAGTAATTCAATGCAATCCTTATCAAAGTCCCACAACATGTTTTGCAGAAATAGAAAGATTCATACCAAAATTCACATGGAATTTCAAGGGACCCCAAATTGCCAAAACCTTGAAAAAGAACAAAGTTGGAGGGCTCACACTTCCTGATTTCAATATTAATACAAAGCTACAGTAGTCAAAACAGTGTGGTGATGGCAGAAGGACAGACATATGGACAAATGAAATAGAATACAGAGTTCAAAGATAAGCCTTCATATATGTGACAAATTGATTTTTGACAAGGGTTCCAAAATCATTTCAATGGTGAAAGGACCATCTTTTCAACAAATGGCACTGGAAAAACTGGATATCCATGTGCAAAAGAATGAAGTTAAATCCTTACAATACACTATACACAAAAATTAACAAAAAGTGGATCAAAGACCTAAATTTAAGAGCTAAAATTTTCTCTTAGAAGAAAATAAAAGAAAATCTTCATGACCTTGAATTCAGCAACGGTATCTTAAGCATGACAACCAAAAGGACAAGCAACACAAGAAAACAAATTGATAGAGAGTGGGTCGTACAGCTTTGGAGTGGCAACCTTTGTGGCGCCAGCGATGAAAAAGAGAATTAAATATGGGTGATGCTGAGAAAGGCAAGAAGATTTTTGTTCAGAAGTGTGCCCAGTGCCACACGGTGGAAAAGAGAGGCAAGCACAAGACTGGGCCTAATCTCCATGGTCTCTTTGGGCCATTGGATTCTCTTACACAGACGCCAAGAAGAACAAAGGCATCACCTGGGGAGAGGATACACTCACTGATGGAGGATTTGGAGAATCCCAAGAAGTACATCCCTGGAAGAAAACTGATCTTTGCCAGCATTAAGAAGGCAGACAGGGCAGACTTGATAGCTTATCTAAAAAAAAGCTACTAATGAGTAATGATTGGCCACTGCCTTATTTATTACAAAACAAATGTCTCATGACTTTTTTATGTGTTCCATACTTTAATAGATCTCATACACAGGAATTCAGATCATGAATGACTGACAGAATATTTTGTTGGGTAGTCATGATTTAAAACTAAGACTGGCTTGTTGTTAAATGAATATGTTGTTTTTGAATTTTAATAGTAATTCCAATTCAGTAAATGCTATCATTGTTTACCCCTTCTAAAGATAAGATTAGACTTCCTTAGTAATGTTCAACTTTTCACAAAGATGGTGAGTGCTATCTTAAAACTTAATGGAGGCCAGGTGCAGTAGCTCACACCTGTAATCCCAGCATTTTGGGAGGCCGAGGTGGGCAGATCACTTGAGGTCAAGAGTTCGGGACTGGCCTGGCCAACATCAGGTGAAACTCTGTCTCTACTAAAAATACAAAAATTAGCTGGGCATGGTGGCGGGCACCTGTAATCCCAGCTACTAGGGATGCTGAGACAGGAGAATTGCTTGAACCCAGAAGGCAGAGTTTGCAGTGAGCTGAGATTGTGCCACTGCACTCTAGCCTGGGCGACAGAGCAAGACCCCATCTCAAAACAAACAAAATAAAACAAAACAAAACAAAACAAAACCAAAAACTTAATGGGGACTGATTTTATATGTAGATTTATATAACTCGTTATGTGAATATATTTAAATACTGAGGAAATTCCTTCATTGTCTCAGAACCAAGCAAGATTCACCTGTGTTTTGTGTTCATTTGCCTCTTAAAGGTAAGGGTGGAAGATAAATAAGGGAGCAATGTCTAGTTTATATTTTTGGCCTTAACTATGCCAATCTAATTAGAATTCCCTGTATTTAAAATGGTCTCTTTAACTTACTGAAAGGCATTTTAGTGTGGTTTATGTGTAATGTCAAAGATTATTTAACACTTCTCACATTTTATAGATGATCTATAAAGTCACATGCTTTTAAAATAGTAGCAAGTTAAACTTCACTCTTGAATTCTTTACGATCTAACTCAAACTAAGTTATAATTTAGAATTGTCTTTAAAGGAGCCATTCAGAAACATAAAACTGAAACTGCTGTGTATTTGTGATTGAAAATAGTGCTTTTGCCAACTTAAAAGGATTAAAGTAGAGGAGATATACACAAATTTTAACATTATGTGTGATCATAAGACTTAAGATAATTAAAAAGAAAACCACAGATGAAAAAAAAAATAGATAAGGCCAGGTGTGGTGGCTCACATCTGTAATCACAGCACTTTGGGAGGCTGAGGCAGGCAGATCGTGAGGCCAAGAGATCAAGACCATCTTGGCCAACATGGTGAAACCCCATCTCTACTAAAAATATAAAAATTAGCTGGGCATTGTGGTGCACGCCCGTAGTCCCAGCTACTCGGTAGGCTGCGGCAGGAGAATCGCTTGAACTCAGGAGGTGGAGGTTGCAGTGAGCTGAGATCGCACCACTGCACTCCAGCCTGGTGACAGAGCAAGACTCCATCACAAAAAAAAAAAAAAAAAAAAGTAGATAAATTTGACTTTATTGAAACTAAATACTTTAGTGCATCAAAGGACACTATCAAGGGAGTGAAAACCCATAGAATGGGAGAAAATATTTGCAAATCATATATCTGATAAGGGATTAATATCCAGAATATATAAATAACTCCTATACCTCAACAATGACAAAAACCCAGTTTAAAAATGGGCAAAGGGCTGAGCACAGTGGCTCATACCTGTAATGCCAGCACTTTGGGAGGCAGAGGTGGGTGGATCTCCTGAGTTCAAGAGTTCGAGACCAGCCTGGGTAACATGACGAAACCTCATGTCTACCAAAAATACAAAAAATTAGCTGAGTATGGTGGTGCACACCTGTGGTCCCAGCTACTCAGGAGGCTGACGTGGGAGGATCGCTTAAGCCTGGGAGGTGGAGGTTGCAGTAAGCCAAGATCACACCACTGCACTCCAACATGTGTGACAGAGTGAGACCCCATCTCAAAAACAAACAAACAAAAAAAAATGGGTAAAGGACTTGAATAGACATTTCTACAAAAATATAGAAATGGCCAAGAAGTACATGAAAAGATGCTTAACATCATTAGTCATTAGGAAATGCAAATCAAACCACAATGAGATACCACTTTGTACTCATCAGGATGATTATAATTAAAAAATAGGGCCAGGAGAGGTGGCAGGTACCTGTAGTCCCAGGTACTCAGGAGGCTGAGGCAGGAAGACTGCTTGAGCCCAGGAGTTTGAGGCTGCAGTGAACTATGATCGCACCACTGCACTGCAGCCTGGGTGACAGAGCAAGACCCTATCTAAAAAAAATAATTTTTTATTTATTAAGAAATAAATTAATTAATTAAAATTAAAACAAAATTTTTTAAGAATGGAAAATAAATGTTGGCAAGGATATGGAGAAATTGGAACCTACAAACATTGTTGGTGGGAATGTAAAATTATGCAGCTGCTATGGAAAGCAGTTTGGTGGTTTCTCAAAATGGTAAATATATGGTCATCATATGATCCAGCAATTCCATGCTTAAGATATATACCCTAAAGAACTGAAAACAGGGACTCAAACAAATATTTGTAAACCAATGATCACAGCAACATTATTCAAATGACCAAAAGGTGGAAACAACTCAAGTGTCCATCAGTGGATGAATGGATAAACAAAATGTGGTATAAACAAAGAATGGGGGCCGGGCGCAGTGGCTCACGCCTGTAGTCCTAGCACTTTGGGAGGCCGAGGCAGGTGGATCACCTGAGGTCAGGAGACCAGCCTGGCCAAAATGGTGAAACCACATCTCTACTAAAAATACAAAAATTAGCTAGGCGTGATGGTGCACACCTGTAATCCCAGCTACTCAGGAGGCTGAGGATAGAGAATTGCTTGAACCCAGGAGGCAGAGGTTGCAGTGAGCTGAGATCACGACAATGCACTCCAGCCTGGGCGACAGAGTGAGACTCCGACTCAACAAAGCAAAACAAAACAAAACACAACAACAACAAAAACAAAGAATGGAATTATTACAGCTGTAATACGGAATAAAGTTCTGATGCATGCCACAACATACATGAACCTTGAAAATATTATGCTAAAGTGAAATAAGCAAGGCACAAAAAGATACATATTGTATGATTCCATTTATATGAAGCATCTAGAATGAACAAATCCATAGACAGAATGTGATTAGTGATTATCAGGAGGTCGGGAGAGGAAGATGGCAAATTATTGCCTAATGGGTACAAAGTTTGTTTGGGATGATCAGAAAGTTCTAGAAATGGATAGTGGTAATGGTTGTATAACATTGTGAATATACTTACTGCTACTAAATTGTACCCTTAAAAACAATTTAAATGGTATATTTTATGTTATGTGTATTTTATCAAAATTCAAAAATAAAATAAAATAATGAAGTAGCTTTATATTACTGATTAGAAGCAATCTCCCAAATAAACTGCTAAATGCAGAAGGTAAGATGTAGAACAAGAGGGGAAAGGAAACTACAGGTAAATACAAATTTGTAAATTCTCAGAACATCTCAGAAGCTTATAAAGTGATTGCCCCTGTAGGAGACAAACCAGGTGCCTAGAGGACTGAGAAGAAGTGAGAGTTATTTTTCACTGGATACCCTTCTATATGTTTTGAATTTTGTATGACACATGTATATTACCTAGTCCAAAAATTTTTTAATTAAAAAAATGTGTTGATTGGGGATCCAAGAAAGGGGTGGGAGGGGAGATAAAAAAATATGCTGGTTGTTCAAAGTCACAGTCCAGTATGAATTACTGCCATAAGGTAGCACTAAAGATACAAACGAGTTAAAGTTATGATTCCAATCTAATCTCTTCCTTTTGTTTTATTTTATTTATTTATTTATTTATTTATTTATTTATTTATTTATTTTGAGATAGAGTCTCATTCTGTTGCCCAGGCTGGAGAGCAGTGGCACAATCATGGCTCACTGTAGCCTCAACTCCCTGGGCTCAATGGATCCTCCCACCTCCGCCTCCTGAGTAGCTAGGATTACAGGTGTGTGCCACCACACCTGGCTAATTTTTGTATGTTTTTGTAGAGACGGGGTTTCACCATGGTGCCCAGGTTGGTCTCAAACTCCTGGCACATGTGATTCGCCTGCCTTGGCCTCCCAAAGTGCTGGGATTACAGCCTGGCTTTTTCAGCGAATGGTGTCCACAAACCAAAAACAAGCCCATGTGAAGTTCACATTAGATGGAGATGTTTCTTAGAAAACAAGGCAATTCTGTGTCCCCACTGCACTCAGAACCTGAACAGTTTCATGGTTAGCTGATCCCAGACCCATCTCTACCCTAATAGACAAAGCTTTTTGAGGGCAGAGGATCTAATATATCAGTGCCTGGCACAGAATAGGCACTTAATGTTTGTGGTAAGAATTTAAAAAATGCTGGAACTATGGCTGTGTACTCCATTTCCACTAATACACACTAGCAAATCTATCATTTGCTTATTTTTTTCCAGCAAATTTCAAGTAAAGAGGTTTAAAAATACAAAACACTAAAAATACTAAAATTAGCTAGGTGCAGCGGCATGTGCCTGTAGTCCCAGCTACTTGGGAGGCTGAGGCAGGAGAATTGCTTGAACCCAGGAGCTGAGATCATGCCACTGCACTCCAGTGTGGGTGACAGAGCTAGACTCCGTGTCACAAAAAAAAAAAAAAAAAAAAAAAAAAAGGCCAGGCTCAGTGGCTCACGTCTGTAATCCCAACACTTTGAGAGGCCAAGGTGGGCGGATCCCGAGGTCAGGAGATCGAGACCATCCTGGCTAACATGGTGAAACCCCTTCTCTACTAAAAATACAAAATAATTAGCTGGGTGTGGTGGCGCACGCCTGTAGTCCCAGCTACTCGGGAGGCTGAGGCAAGACAATTGTGTCAACCCAGGAGATGGAGGTTGCAGTGAGCCGAGATCATGCACTGCACTCTAGCCTGGGCAACAGAGGGAGATTCCATCAAAAAAAAAAAAAAAAAAATCTTTCCCAACATATTGCCTCTTACCTGGATGTGGCTGCTGGCTTCATTCTGTTTACTAAATGCCAGTGTGCTGAGAACATTGAAGAGTTTTCGTATTTGCTGAGGGGATATATTATCCAGATAATCTAAAATGCCCTGCAGAAAAAATGATGCCAACAGTGAGGCTGGCAGCTAACATTTTTTCCCTTAAAAATCAAAAAATTAAAATCCCTGTAAGAGAGGCATACATAGATAGCCAGGTATCTAAACTTTTTAGCTCTCTTAAAAGCTTAAGTTCCAAAAGCTATGCTCAGAGCCCAGAGGTTTGATAGGCTGGATATAAACTGAGAAAACTCTTACAACTTTCTAAATGTCTTATTAACAGCGACTAGGAACTAACTATCAGGAAAGATAAAGTTTTCTTTATCCTCTTCACTCTGAACCACAATCCTGGGCTTTAATCATCTACTGCTTAGTCATTCTAATGCACCTCCCAGTTCTCCGTATTCTTTACCTCCACCTTTCCCTTTTTTTCAGTGAAAACAATATGCTATAAAAAGTTATGTCTTTACTATTCCTTGCCGTATCATCCCTCCCCAGCTTCTACTCCATAAATTATTTCTCCTTTCTCTACAGATCTGGAAGGAGTCACAAGGAAACTATTTACTTTGTGACCTTGGGAAATGTCTCAGCTTTTCTCGTCTGTAACAGGGCGATAATAATAGCTATACTACCTTTCATGGTTTGTCTGAGGATAAAGTAGTAAAACAGCTTTGTAAACTTCTAACAATTTTTAAAATTTTCCATTTCTGCCTCTCTATTGAATCCTTTCTGTCAGCCTACAAGCAATCTCAAACCTCCTCATCTAAAAAATATCTCCCTCGCAACCAGCTTCTCTCTCAAGCTACTTTTCTTATTCTCTCCTCCTTGATGCTTCTTGACATTGACTGTATTCCCCAAGTCTTCAAGTTACTGCTCTCTGGCTTCCACCCTTATAATTCAATTAACATTGTTCTCTCAGAGGTTACCAGGGGTATCCTAATTGCCAAAGCCAATAGCCTCTGCTCCATCTTCAACCTCTACAGTATCCATCACTGGAGATAAATCCCTCACTCTTGAAACTCATTCCTGGGCTTTTGCTACCTGACATCCTTCAAGCTCACATTATTCATCTTCTAGTTTTCTCATTTTCCTTCTGCGGACATTTGCTTCCGTCTGCCACTTAAACTTTAACTGTCTCAAAATGTCTGTGCTCTTCTAAGCTTCTACGGTCTTCTGCCTCAAAATTGCCTCAGTTGAGCTCACATTTATACGGTTCTGAACACCCAAACTAAATCTTCCACCAAAGGGTGCCCCACAGGGTTCCAAACCAGAATTTCCAACTATCCACTAACCACCTACACGTGGCTATCCCATAGTGAACTCATCATACTTCCTACAGAAGATGCACGCCCCTCCTGGTCTCAGAAAATGGCACGACTATTTATCTAGTTTCCTAAGATGAAAAAACTCGGACCTAGTTTTTCTGTTTCTCACTGCCACATATTAACAGTCACCAAGTCATGTTAATTCTAACACCAAATTGTCTCTTAAACCATCATTTCTTCTACATTCCTGTGACCAAAATCTGGCCCTTACTCTCACTCCCTTAGACCATTTCAGTGGTCTCCAATCCACCCATCATATAGCCTACTGAGTTATCTCTCAACGCTGAGTAGATTAGGTCAACTCTATGTAAAAACTGCTAATAGCTCCCTATTGTCTAGAAAATAAAATTGAAACTCTTTAGCATGTTATTTGAAACTCTTTGCAACACGGGCCTGTCCTATGTCTTACCAGCCTTGCCTCCCATCACTCCTCTCCATATATATCCTATTCTCCAGTCATGCTTGTTTGCTTCTCATTCCTCAGTCACACCACTGACTTGGGCACCAGTTTGCTTCTGCTCAAACTCTTCTCTGCCTAGAACGCACTTCCCATACTTTCTCTTGTCAGTCATTCCCATCCTTCAGCAATCACTCAAATCACCTCTTTGAAGAACTCTCCAGCTTCCCAGGCTAACTTTAATTATTCTTGCTCTGTTGCATCTATAGTACTTTACCAGAGAATTCACCATGTTGTATTTATAGTGACTTGCTTATGTGTCTTCGTCTTTAACATCAAAGGCAAGGACCTACTTTACATTCACAGCACCCAGAATAGAGCTTAGTCTGTGGGTTAGATATAAAGAAATGTTTGCTGAATCAATTAACACATAGATAGAATAGTCACTTTTTATTTATATTACTTGCCCATCATTTCACCTCCGTCCCACCACCTCCCACCAATTATAGTATTCAATATCTAAAGTACAAGAAGCCAATAAGATACCTTTACAAAGACAGCATTCATCATCATAGCAGATGGGTTTAACACTACCAACTCTAGAAGGACATCTAAGGCAGTATCAACTTCAGCTTCATTCCCACTGCAGATGTGGGTCACTAAGGCACCAACCACTTCCTATACAGGGGAGAGTCAACAGGACAGTGTAAAACAAAATATGGATGGCCATTCTAAAGGGATTCACCCCCAAGGCCTCTCCAATCTCTACTTTGTTAAAATCACAATCAACCCAATCCCATCATCTATTATCTAGTTTTCATTAATGTTGGCTTCAGGAGATTTAGGAATATGCCAGTGTAACTTGACCATCCCGTCTTGACCTATTTCCCATATTTTATCAGTGAGCTCTACCTGAGCCCTCCTGATTTTGCTCCTGGGCGTAGTTTTCCTCTTTCTTTTTCCCATATGGGTTAAATTTTACCCTTTAAGTTGAGGTTGTACAAGATCAGTTGAAATTTCTCAAAAAGATGGCACTCAAGGAGCTAAAAGCTTTAAAGCTTTTCTCTATATAGTACAGGCTAGACTTGCATGTTTCCAAGCAAACATGGATCATGACAGTGTCTCTAAGACATTAAGAGGGTCCAGAAATGTCTTAGATGCCATTCTCCCTTTATACCATCACTCCATAAGTCATAACAGAATTACATTTTCAACTGCAACAGCTACCTCATGTCAGCTGCAACTATTGCTCTACTTTAAATTAAAAAAAAAATTTTTTACAAATCTTCATTTTAAAAGTTCCATTCAAATGCGTTTTAACATTGTTAATAAGAGGAAGAATATATGTAAAAATACAAAATAAGACACTGTTCTTTACCTGCTTTCATAAATATTTTCCACAAATACAGTCCTCCCTCTCTGGATATATGCTATTAAAATGTGTCTCAGCCAGGCCCGATGGCTCACACCTATAATCCCAGCACTTTGGGAGGCTGAAGTGGGTGGATCACCTGAGGTCAGGAGTTCGAGACCAGCCTGGCCAACATGGTGAAACCCTGTCTCTACTAAAAATACAAAAAATTAGCCGGGCCTGGTGGTGCGCGCCTGTAATCCCAGCTACTTAGGAGGATGAGACAGGAGAATCGCTTGAACCCTGGAGGCAGAGGTTGCAGTGAGCCAAGACTGCGCCACTGCACTCCAGCCTGGGCAACAAGAGCGAAACTCCGTCTCAACAACAACGACAACAACAACAACAAAATGTCTCATGTTTTGACATCAACTGGATCTGGATCTTAATTTCAGACAGAATTTTAGAGTTCAGAACACAGAGTTAGATCCACCAGTCAAGTCTCTTCATTTCATCAAGGCTGGGACTAGAATTGAGCTTTCCTGAGACCCAGTTCAGAGATCCTTTCCCTTCAGTAAGGTCCAACCAACAAGAAATAAACATCAGATTATTTTCCCTTCCCCTGTTCCCTCCTTGCCAAAATAAGTGTTTCAACACACCTGCTGGCAGTATGTGTCAAAAAACTTAAATGCATATTTGTATAGGAGACTGCCAAATGAAATTATACTCTGGTCTAGAGAGTGAAGCAAACTCTGAGCCAGCGACAGAATGGATGAACACATATCCTTAAGAACCTTGAGTGGGGAAGAGTAGAGAGAGAAAAGAAGCTGTAGGAAACAGTACACAACCTAAGAGTTGCTTATCCTTTTGGAATGTCAGACCTCTCCTCCCCAACTCTCATTTTAACTTAAGAAATCTTAATCTTTGTTTTACACAGAATAATCCTTCACCATTCTGAGTTTTTTCTCAGGATCAGTGGGAGTCCACATTTGGATATTAATTGACCTTTAAGTTCAAAGAAGTTAAATTATAAGCCTAATACTATGTTCCTATCTGCTCAATTTGGGATTGGAGGCCAGACCTTCTAAATCCCAGTTTCCTCACGCAATCACACTACCCCCCAGGGATGCTCCACTTTGGTTATAATTTGAAATAGATCTATGAGGTTCGATGCTAACTAAACTGATTTTTTAAAAAGAAGATCAAGAAGAGAAGTGATCACGCTCTACCAATAATGCAATATACATAGACATTAATGGACCCAGAGTAAATAACTAGTTAATAAACATAGCTTCCTTATTGATGCCATAATTTTAAAAAATCTTATATTTAGTACTAAGCTGGGTATAATGCTTTACTGGGGAAAATGCAATGAAAAATTACATGTGGTTTCTGCCCTCTAGAAAATTACAGCCCAAAACATATATCATTGGTAGAAATAAACACAGAAAGAACTGTAAGGTAAAATAATACCAATATTAAATCTATTCCTAAATATAAAATTTAAGACCCAACAAGGTATTCTCATTAGCTCCTAACCCAAACCCAAACCCAAATCACTGGCCCATCCAGTTTTCTAAGTTCTATACTGTTAATATCCTGAACATTCAGCCAGCAAAACACTATTCCCAGCTTATAAAATTCGAGTTTGAATAACTTACATTTCCAGAGGAATTATCACCTAAAGTCCACAGTTTTGAATGGCCAAAGAGTGATAGTTCAAATAGGTTCATATTTATGTTTATACTGGTTTCTACAGGTTGGTCCTATTCCCCTCAAGGTTTTTATAAGCTACTTAGAATAGGATATGGAAGGTCAGTTTGTCAAAGTTGCAAACTGCATTGAGATAGACAATTAAAATAATGCAAAAATAAAATTCGAAAATCTCAATGGGTTTGAACAATGGACTGAAATAAGATGAAATTTTACATGGGAGCTGTAAAGCTTTCCTTTTTAGATTAAAAATCAATAATCTCTGACAATAAATAATGAACAGAGAATGTACTCTGGAGCAGCTGTTCTTGAATGCAGCCTGATCGAATCTTACTTCTTAGCACCCTGTCAATGTACTTCTTTGTCTGGGTATTGGTACTATAGATGATGAAAAGCATCACCAGGTCAAAAACCTATTGTCAATAAATATGCAATAATAGAAAAACAGTTAACCAATCAGTACATTTGCTACAATGAAACAGCAGCTTTTCCCGATTAAAACACAGAATGGATGATACTCATTCGTTCCACATACTCCCTTAGGCTTATCTACACTTTTCACAAAACCCAGAAATTTTTTTCAGAGAAATAAAGTGCCACAACTATTAGCCACTGGTATCTCTTAAGAATACATTGCAATATACATGAAAGTGATACTACTACAGAAGTAACTTTGAACATCTTCACATTTATTAAAAGATTCAATCACTTGCCAACTCCAGTATGTATTTTCACTATTACTAGGAAAATTACTTTGTGAAAAGTTGGAAAGACTATAAATGCCCATCAATCTGGAAAGGGTTCAGTAAATTATGATGGAGTAATTTTAATTTTTGAAATATTATAGTCATCAAAAAGGATAAGCCAGGCTGGGCGTGGGGGCTCACACCCGTAATCCCAGTACTTTGGGAGGCTGAGGTATACATATCACCTGAGGTTAGGAGTTCGAGACCAGCCTGGCCAACACGGTGAAACCCCATTTCTACTAAAAAATACAAAAAAAAAATTGGCCAGTCGTGGTGGCAACTGCCTGCAATCCCAGCTACTCAGGAGGCTGAGGCAGGTCAATGACTCGAACCCGGGAGGTGGAGGTTGCAATGAGCCGAGATCGTGCCACTGCACTCCAGCCTGGGTGACACAGCGAGACTCTGTCTAAAAAAGACTTTTTAATTACAAAATTAAAAAAAAAAAAGAATAAGCTAGACTAGGGGTCCCCAACTCCTGGACCATGGAGTCCGTGGTCTGCTAGGAACCAAGCTGCACAGCAGGAGGTGAGGGGTGGTCAAGTGGTCATTACCACTGAGATCCGCCTCCTGTCAGATTAGCGGCTGCATTAGATTCTCACGGGAGCGCGAACCCTATTGTGAACTGCACATGCGCAGGATCTAGGCTGCACGTTCCTTATGAGAATCTAAGTAGTGCCTGATGATCTAAGGTTGAACAGTTTCATCCTGAAATCAGGCCCCGAGACGGTCTGTGGAAAAACTGTCTTCCATGAAACCAGTCCCTGGTGCCAAAAAGGTTAGGGACTGCTGAGCCATACTCTATTTTTTGACAGAGAAAAGACATTCCTGACATGAAGTGGAAAAATCAGCAGCCTGCAAAAGGATAATCAGGCTGGGCATGAAGGCTCATGCCTATAATCCCACTGCTTTGGGAGGCTGAGGAGGGAGGATCATTGAGCCCAGGAGGTGGAGGCAACAGTGAGCTATGATTGTGACACTGCACTCCAGCCTGGTGACACAGTGAGACCCTGTCTCTTTAAACAACACCACCACCACCCATAATCATAGTTAAGATTCTGCTTTTGTAAAAACAATATATAAACATACATATGTGTAGGCATAAGAGTATACCTGTACTTGCACACAATTACAGCTCGTATATGAACAGAAAAAATTTGGAAGGATGATTATCCCTGAGGAATGGGACAGAGAATGGAGAAAAACTGTATTTTTTACATCTGTAGATTCCTTGTGGGTTTTTCTCCACAATTAGCTTGTTTATCTACATTTAAAAAAGAAAAATATGAGGACTGGGTGAAGTGGCTCATGCCTATAATCCCAGCACTTTGGGAGGTCCAAGCAGGAGGATCACTTGAAGCTAAAAATTTGAGACCAGCCTGGGAAACACAGCAAGACCTCATCTCTATAAAAAATAAAAGAATTGGCTGGGTGTGGTGGCTCACACCTGTAATCCTAGCACTTTGAGAGGCTGAGGCAGGTGGATCACTTGAGGTCAGCAGTTCGAGACCAGCCTGGCCAACATGGTGAAATCCTGTCTCTACTAAGAATACAAAAATTAGCTGGGTGTGGTGGTGGGCACCTGTAATCCCAGCTACGAGGGAGGCCGAAGCAGGAGAACTGCTTCAAACCAGGGGGCAGAGGTTGCAGTGAGCTGAGATTGTGCCAGCCTGGGCGAAAGAGCAAAATTCTGTCTCAGGAAAAAAAAAAAATTGAATTAGCCAGGCCTGGTTGTGCTTGCCTGTAGTCCCAGTTACTCTGAAGATTGAGGTGGGAGGATCACTTGAACCCAGGAGTCTGAGGCTGCAGTGAGCTATGGTGCTGCCACTGCACTCCAACTTGGGCGACAGTGCAAGACCTGGTCTCTTAAAAAACAAAACAAAACAAAAAAATAGAAAACGTTGGGAGTATATTCAGGGCAACTTGAGTCTATGCTTCTAGGAAAAACAAACAAACAAAAACAAACAAAAAGAGTTAAAAAGGCAAGCAGGGCCTTTTATCCAAAATGGCTGAATAGGAACAGCTCCTGTCTGCAGCTCCCAGCATGACTGACACAGAAGACGGGTGATTTCTGCATTTCCAACTGAGGTACCTGGTTCATCTCATGGGGACTGGTTGGACGGTGGGTGCAGCCCACGGAGGGTGAGCCAAAGCAGGGTGGGGCATTGCCTCACCCAGGAAGCACAAGGGGGCGGAGGATTTCCCTTTATAGCCAAGGGAAGCCGTGACAAACTGTACCTGGAATATGAGGAAACTCACAACCAAATACTGTGCTTTTCCCAAGGTCTTAGCAACCAGCAGACAAAGAGATTCTCTCCTTCACCTGGCTCAGCAGGTCCCACGCCCACGGAGCCTTGCTCACTGCTAGTGCAGCAGTCTGAGATTGACCAGCGAGGCGGCAGCCAGGCTCGGGGAGGGGTGTCCGCTATTGCTGAGGCTTGAGTAGGTAAAGCGGCTGGGAAGCTTGAACTGGGTGGAGCCCACCACAGCTCAGCAAGGCCTAGGCCTCTATAGTCTCCATCTCTGTGGGCAGGGCATAGCTGAACAAAAGGCAGCAGACAACTTCTGCAGACTTAAACATCCCTGTCTGACAGCTCTGAAGAGAGCAGTGGTTCTCCCAGCATGGCGTATGAGCTCTGAGAACAGACAGACTGCCTCCTCAAGTGGGTCCCTGACCCCTGTGTAGCCTAACTGGGAGACACCTCCCAGTAGGGGCCAACAGACACCTCATATAGCTGGGTGCCCCTCTGGGACGAAGGTTCTAGAGGAAGGATCAGGCAGCAATATTTGCTGTTCTGCAATATTTGCTGTTCTGCAGCCTCCACTGGTGATAACCAGGCAAACAGCATCTGGAGTGGACCTCCAGGAAACTCCAACAGATCCGCAGCTGAGGGACCTGACTGTTAGAAGGAAAACTAACAAACAGAAAGGAATAGCATCAACGTCAACAAAAAGGACATCTACACCAAAACCCCATCTGTAGGTCACCAACATCAAAGACCAAAGGTAGATAAAACCACAAAGATGGGGAGAAACCAAAGCAGAAAAGCTGAAAATTCTAAAAACGAGAGTGCCTCTTCTCCTCCAAAGGATCTCAGCTCCTCACCAGCAACGGAACAAAGCTGGATGGAGAATGACTTTGATGAGTTGACAGAAGTAGGCTTCAGAAGATCGGTAATAACGAACTTCTCCGAGCTAAAGGAGGATGTTCGAACCCATCCAAAGAAAGCTAAAAACCTTGAAAAAAGGTTAGACGAATTGCTAACTAGAATAAACCGTGTAGAGAAGGCCTTAAATGACCTGATGGAAAACCATGGCATGAGAACTTTGTGATGCATGCACAAGCTTCAATAGCCAATGTGATCAAGTGGAAGAAAGGGTATCAGTGATTGAAGATCAAATGAATGAAATAAAGCAAGAAGACAAGAATAGAGAAAATAGAGTAAAAAGAAATGAACAAAGCCTCTAAGAAGTATGGGACTATGTGAAAAGACCAAATCTACATTTGATTGGTGTACCTGAAAGTGACATGGAGAATGGAACCAAGTTGGAAAACACTGTTCGGGATATTATCCAGGAGAACTTCCACAACCTAGCAAGGCAGGCCAACACTCAAATTCAGGAAATATAGAGAACGCCACAAAAATTCTCCTCCAGAAGAACAACTCCAAGACACATAATTGTCAGATTCACCGAGGTTGAAATGAAGGAAAAAATGTTAAGGGCAGCCAGAGAGAAAGGTCAGGTTACCCACAAAGGGAAGCCCATTAGACTAACAGCAGATCTCTTGGCAGAAACTGTACAAGCCAGAAGACAGTGGGGGTCAATACTCAACATTCTTAAAGAGAAGAGTTTTCAACCCAGAACTTCATATCCAGCCAAACTAAGCTTCATAAGTGAAGGAGAAATAAAATCCTTTACAGACAAGCAAATGCTGAGAGATTTTGTCACCAACAGGCCTGCCTTACAAGAGCTCCTGAAGGAAGCACTAAACATGGAAAGGAACAACTGGTACCAGCCACTGCAAAAACATGCCAAATTGTAAAGACCATCCATGCTATGAAGAAACTGCATCAATTAATGGGCAAAATAACCAGCTAACATCATAATGACAGGATCTAATTCACACATAACAATATTAACCTTAAATGTAAATGGGCTAAATGCCCCAATTAAAAGACACAGACTGGCAAATTGGATAAAAAGTCAAGACCCATCAGTGTGCTGTATTCAGGAGACCCATCTCACGTGCAGAGACACACATAGGCTCAAAAGAAAGGGATGGAGGAAGATCTACCAGGCAAATGGAAAACAAAAAGAAGGAGGGGTTGCAATCCTAGTCTCTGATAAAATAGACTTTAAACCATCAAAGATCAAAAGAGACACAGAAGGCCATTGCATAATGGTAAAGGGATCAATTCAACAAGAAGAGCTAACTATCCTAAATATATATGAACCCAATACAGGAGCACCCAGATTCATAAAGCAAGTCCTTAGAGACCTACAAAGAGACTTAGACTCCCATACAATAATAATGGGAGACTTTAACACCCCACTGTCAACATTAGACAGATCAATGAGACAGAAAGTTAACAAGGATATCCACGACTTGAACTCAGCTCTGCACCAAGCAGACCTAATAGACATCTACAGAACTCTCCACCCCAAAATCAACAGAGTATACATTCTTCTCAGCACCACATAGCACTTACTCTAAAATTGACCACATAATTGGTAGTAAAACACTCCTCAGCAAATGTAAAAGAACAGAAATCACAATAAACTGTCTCTCAGACCACAGTGCAATCAAGTTAGAACTCAAGATTAAGAAACTCACTCAAAACCATACAACTACCTGGAAACTGAACAACCTGCTCCTGAATGACTACTGGATAAAAAACGAAATGAAGGCAGAAATAAAGATATTCTTTGAAACCAATGAGAACAAAGACACAATGTACCAGAATCTCTGGGACACATTTAAAGCAGTGTGTAGAGGGACATTTATAGCACTAAATGCCCACAAGAGAAAGCAGAAAAGGTCTAAAATAGACACCCTAATATCACAATTAAAAGAACTAGAGAAGCAAGAGCAAACAAATTCAAATGCTAGCAGAAGGCAAGAAATAACTGAGATCAGGGAAGAACTGAAGGAGATAGAGACACAAAACCTCTTCAAACAATCAATGAATCCAGGAGCTGGATTTTTGAAAAGATTAACAAAATTGATAGACTGCTAGCAAGACTAATAGAGAAGAAAAGAGAGAAGAATCAAATAGATGCAATAAAAAATGATAAAGGGGATATCACCACCGATCCCACAGAAATACAAACTACCATCAGAGAATACTATAAACACCTCATGCAAATAAACTAGAAAATCTAGAAGAAATGGATAAATTCCTGGACACATACACCCTCCCAAGACTAACCCAGGATGAGGGTGAATCTCTGAATAGACCAAAAGGCTCTGAAATTGAGGCAATAATTAATAGCCTACCAACCAAAAAAAGTCCAGGACCAGACGGATTCACAGCCGAATTCTACCAGAGGTACAAAGAGGAGCTGGTACCATTCCTTCTGAAACTATTCCAATCAATAGAAAAAGAGGGACTCTTTCCTAATTCATTTTATGAGGCCAACATCATTCTAATACCAAAGCCTGGCAGAGACACAACCAAAAAAGAGAATTTTAGACCAATATTCCTGATGAACATCATTGCAAAAATCCTCAATAAAATACTGGCAAACTGAATCCAGCAGCACATCAAAAAGCTTATCCACCATGATCAAGTCAGCTTCATCCCTGGGATGCAAGGCTGGTTCAACATATGCAAATCAATAAACATAATCCATCACATAAACAGAACTAATGACAAAAACCACATGATTATCTCAATAGATGCAGAAAAGGCCTTCAACAAAATTCAACAGCCCTTCATGCTAAAAACTCTCAATAAACTATGTATTGATGGAACGTATCTCAAAATAATAAGAGCTATTTATGACAAACCCACAGCCAATATCATACTGAATGGCCAAAAACTGGAAGCATTCCCTTTGAAAACTGGCACAAGAGAGGGATGCCCTCTCTCACCACTCCTATTCAATATAGTGTTGGAAGTTCTGGCCAGGGCAATCAGGCAAGAGAAAGAAAAAAAGGGTAGTCAATTAGGAAAAGAGGAAGTCAAATTGTCCCTCTTTGCAGATGATATGATTGCATGTCTAGAAAACCCCATAGTCTCAGCCCGAAATCTCCTTAAGTTTATAAGCAACTTCAGCAAAATCTCAGGATACAAAATCAATGTGCAAAAATCCCAAGCATTCCTATACACCAATAACAGACAAACAGAGCCAAATCATGAGTGAACTCCCATTCACAATTGCTATAAAGAGAATAAAATACCTGGGAATCCAACTTACAAGGAATGTGAAGGACCTCTTCAAGGAGAACTACAAACCACTGCTCAAAGAAATCAAAAAGGACACAAACAAATGGAAGAACATTCCATGCTCATGGATAGGAAGAATCAATGTTGTGAAGATGGCCATACTGCCCAAGGTAATTTACAGATTCAATGCCATCCCCATCAAGCTACCAATGACTTTCTTCACAGAATTGGAAAAAACTACTTTAAAGTTCATATGGAACCAAAAAGGAGCCCACATTGCCAAGACAATCCTAAGCAAAAAGAACAAAGCTAGAGGCATCATGCTACCTGACTTCAAACTACACTGCAAGGCTACAGTAACCAAAACAGCATAGTACTGGTACCAAAACAGAGATATAGACCAATGGAACAGAACAGAGACCTCAGAAATAACACCACACATCTACAACCATCTGATCTTTGACAAACCTGACAAAAACAAGAAATGGGGAAAGGATTCTCTATTTAATAAATGGTGCTCGAAAACAGGCTAGCCATATGTAGAAAGCTGAAACTGGATCCCTTCCTTACACCTTATACAAAAATTAATTCAAGATGGATTAAAGACTTAAATATTAGATCTAAAACCATAAAAACCCTAGAAGAAAACTTAGGCAATACCATTCAGGACATAGGCATGGGCAAGGACTTTATGACTAAAACGCCAAAAGCGATGGCAACAAAAGCCAAAATTGACAAATGGGATGTAATTAAACTAAAGAGCTTCTGCACGGAAAAGAAACTACCATCAGAGTGAACAGGCAACCTACAGAATGGGAGAAAATTTTTGCAATCTACCCATCTGACAAAGGGCTAATATCCAGAATCTACAAAGAACTTAAACAAATTTACAAGAAAAAAACAGCCCCATCAAAAAATGGGCAAAAGATATGAACAGACACTTCTCAAAAGAAGACATTTATGCAGCCAACAGACACATGAAAAAATGCTCATCATCACTGGTCATCAGGGAAATGCAAATCAAAACCACAATGAGCTACCATCTCACACCAGTTACAGTGGCAATCATTAAAAAGTCAGGAAACAACAGGTGCTGGAGAGGATGTGGAGAAATAGGAACGCTTTTACACTGTTGGAGGGAGTGTAAATTAGTTCAACCATTGTGGAAGACAGTGTGGCGATTCCTCAAGGATCTAGAACTAGAAATACCATTTGACCCAGGGATCCCATTACTGGGTATATACCTAAAGGATTATGAATCATGCTACTATAAAGACACATGCACACGTATGTTTATTGCGGCACTATTCACAATAGCAAAGACTTGGAACCAACCCAAATGTCCATCAATGATAGACTGGATTAAGAAAATGTGGCACATATACACCATGGAGTACTATGCAGCCATAAAAAAGGATGAGTTCGTGTCCTTTGTAAGGACATGGATGAAGCTGGAATCCATCATTCTCAGCAAACTATCGCAAGGACAGAAAATCAAACACCACATGTTCTCACTCATAGGTGGGAATTAAACAATGAGAACACTAGGACACAGGACGGGGAACATCACACACTGGGGCCTGTCGGTGGGTAGGGGGCTGGGGGAGAGATAGCATTAGGAGAAATACCTAATGTGAATGACGAGTTAATGGATGCAGCAAACCAAAATGGCACATGCATAGCTATATATCAAACCAGCATGTTGTGCACATGTACCCTAGAACTTAAAGTATAATAATTAAAAAAAAAACTATATCCCTTTTATCCTGGGAATTCACTTGATCACTTGAAAAAATAGATCATAGAACAGACCTTCTTCTAGTGCCTTCAAGAAGCATTCAAATTTTCATATTTTCCGAGAAGCAAATTGGTCAATTCAACTCATCTTTGTAACCATAAATTTTATATGGTCATATTCATCAACATTCTCTAACATAATTTCTTTCTTTTATATTTAAAAAAATGATTTTCTTAGCCTGTGTTTGCATAAATATTCATCTGTGGTTTTCTCTTGTCAAAAAAAAAAAAAGGTAAGCAGGACAAAAAAGAAAAAACAAAACAAATTTTACTACTTCTCTTAACTGAATGCCCCACTCCTTAGGACACCAAAATTGAGAGTCATTAGACCAGAATACAGTCATTAAAGATAACAGTGAAGACAACGCAGAAGCACATGGAGAAAAAATGTTGAGAAAAAAGAATACAAATTATATTTATACAATGATTACAAATATGTAAAAATAGGTATGCAGGCAGCCAAGGTGGTAAATTTATGTTTATCCAAAACCAAAAACAGTGTGTTGGAGTACTTTGATATTTTTCAGCACAAAAAAATTTGAATTTTCATTGCTTTATTCAGCATCATGAAAGCTTTTAAGATGGTCATCCAAAAATTGGCTAACACAACTGACAAAAATCCCACAAAACAGATTCCAACCAAAGAAAAATCTTTAAAGGCAACCAATCAGCACCTAAGGAACTCAATCATCTGGCTTTTTATCTTTTGAGATGGAGTCTTGCACTGTCACCCAGGCTGGAGTGCAGTGGCGTGTGCCACCAGGCCAGGCTAATTATTTTTTGTATTTTTAGTAGAGACGGGGTTTTGCTACATTGGCCAGGCTGGTCTCAAACTCCTGACCTCAGATGATCCGCCTGCCTCAGCCTCCAAAGTGCTGGGATTATAGGCGTGAGCCACCACGCCAGGCCAATCATCTGGCTTTTTGATGGAAGGTATTTCTAGAATTAATAGGGACATAAGATCCAGTACCACTGCCTTGACGGTGGACAGACTGATTTACTCCAGTCAGGTCTACATGAGCAAAGTAAAGTAAAACATGGAATGCCATTATCTTGACAGTGGTGCTGGGTGGAAGGAAGGGCAATTAGGCAGATATAGGGACCTGAGACTTAGGTGGTTATTTTCTTCATCTCATCGGTGGGGACCTGGCTTCTTTGACTGCACCTTGATGTGCTTGTTTACACTGTTAGTATTTCCCCTTGTGGATACTGTAGGCTTATTTTACAGCCAGAGTGAGTAGGGGCAGGCTATCTGGCCAGTCGCCACCTCAGATTATCTTCCCCAGACAGCTAATGTTTATTAGAGCAACTAGGGAAGAGAGAGAAGAGTGACTGGAGGGAGGAGAAAGAAAGAAAGTGGGAAGGCAAGCTAGCCAATGTCATTACTTTTAAGTCTGCAATACTGAAAATGCATAGTACATGAACATTACCTCGTGTTCAGACACTGAGGCAGTGTTTTCAATTGCCTGAAAAAACAGGAGAGAGTCACAAAAATATTATGACACATCAGCAAAACACATTTCACCTTATTCAGCATGCCCTGTTATCTCATCTAAGAGCCAATGTGTCCATATGGCAACCATCAGCTATCATTTCCCCTTGAATGACTTTTGAGATTTTTATTTCAATCTACCTTAGTTATACATCTGTCACTAATTGCCACTCATTTCCTCCTTGATAATCAAAGTTCCAAAGATCTCACCTTAATCCAGGCTTCTGAAATGGTTTTCTCATATCTAATAGCTGACTTTATTACATCGAAGAGGAGACTAATACAGCTCTGATGCTGCTTTCTTGATTTCCTGAGGAACTACAAGTAGCAGAGTGGAAAAAGTTACTCTTCTACCTACCAGAAAAGAACTTACAAGATCTGAGCTTCTGCTTAGTAGCCATGTACCCTGGAGCAAATGACAACCTCATGTATAAGATGGCTAATAAACGTGCACTGCAGTCTGTCTGGGATCTATCTGAATGGCTAAGAAAATATATAAACACATACATACTCACATACATATATGTAATTTGAAACACTATACAATACCAGATGTAAGTGTCATAATAGTACCATTATTTGTAGTTGTAAGTATTAAGCTCCAACTCTGACTGTGGGATGTCAGAAAATTGTGACATCCTATGTGAGAAAAAGGGTGGCAATTTTCCATGAACTCTTTACCTTGCTCGTCCTTTACTTTTCAAATTTACTTAGGAAGCCTGCAACCGTGATGGCAAAACATAATGTTGCAGATCCAACTTCTCCTGAAGCTCAGTGGCATGATCTCGGCTCACTGCAACCTCCGCCTCTCAGGCTCAAGAGATTCTCGTGCCTCAGACTCCTGAGTAGCTGGGACTACAGGCGTGTGCCACCAATGCCTGGCTAATGTTTGTATTTTTAGTACAGATGGGGTTTCACCATGTCGGCCATGCTGGTCTCGAACTCCTGGCCTCAAGAGATCCGCCTGCTTCGGCTTCCCAAAGTGCCTTGGATTCCCAAGGTGCTGGGATTACAGGTGTGAACCATCATGCCTGGCCTGTGCACATCATTTCAATAACTGATATTTTGAAAACATTAAGTTTATCGACATAATTTATATACAATAAAATGTATTATTTACAAGTATGTCTTTCAATAAGTTTTGGCAAATTTATACAGTTATGTAACCACCATTTCTGGCAAACCAAAAAGCTGCCATCTGTCCCTTTATAGTCATGTAATGGACTTTTCTAAAATGTCATGTAAATAGAATCATATGTCTTAAAAATTTTTGTTTCTATTTTTGTAAATTAAAAAAATTTATTTAGAAAATTATTATGAGTTATACAGTCTTTTATATCTGGCTTAGATTTTAAACTGTGTGTGTGTGTGTGTGTGTGTGTGTGTGTGTGCGTGTGTATGCGTGAAGAAGAAATACATCAGCGAAGTAAAACAATTAAAATTCTAGAAGAATAAAGAGAGAGGAAGAAAAAGAGATGAAGAAGAAATATTTGAAGTATTATAATAATGGCTGAGAATCTTCCAAAACTAATGACAGACAACAATCCAATGACAGAAAACTCTTGAAAGAAGCTGGGGAGTGGGTGGGAGAATGCCTAACTATAGAGGAACAAGGATAAAATTATAGCTGATATCTTGTCAGAAATTAGGCAAACAAGAAGAAAGTGGAGTGAGGGATTTAAAGTGTTAAAAGAAAGCAACTTCAAAAGAAATCTAAATAGATGGAGAGACTGATATACCATCTTTATGGATTAGAAGGCCCAACATAGTAAAGAAGTCAATTCTCTTCATATTTATGTATAGATTTAACATTATTCCAGTAAAAATCTCAGAGGGATTATTGATAATATATACAAGCTGATTCCTTAAAAAAAAAAAAAAAAGGCGGGGGCGAAGGGAGGCTGAAGCAAGAGGATCACTTGAGCCCTGGAGTTCGAGATTGCTGTGAGCTACGATCACACCTCTGCATTCCAGCCTAAGCAACAGAGCAAGACCTCATCTCTAAAAAAATAAAATGCATAAAAAAATTATAACATCATTAAAATAAAATGAAATATGGGAAAGGCAAAGGAACATGAATACAAAATAATTTTGAAAAAGAATAAAATAGAAGGAACACCAATTTTAAGACTACTCAATTTTAAGATATTATAAATCTCTATTAATCTAGATGGTGTAGTACTGGTTGGGGGACAGAAATATAAATCAATGGAACAGAATAGAGAGTCCAGAAACACACCCACACAACATAAGACCAATTGATTTCTCACAAAGGTATGAAGGCAATTCAATGGAGAATGATAAACTTTTCAATAAATGGTGCTGGAAAAATTATCCATTTGCAAAAAAAAAATGAGCCTCAACCTAAACTACACAACTTATACTACAACCTAAACTACACAGCCTATACAAAATTAATTCAAAATGGATCATAGGTTAGTTTGCAAAACGTAAAATTATGAAGTTTTAAGAAGAACATATGGGAGAAAAACTTTTGTGATCTACAGTTGGGCAGAGAGTGCATAGAGATGACACCAAAAGCATGATCATAGCAGGAAAATTTATCTCCTGTTGATAAATTGGACCTATTGAAAATTAAAAACGCATGTTTGCTCTGTGACAGACATTGTCAAGAGAATGAAAAGATTGGCTACAGAGTGGGAGAAAGTATTTGTAAACAACATATCTGCCAAAGAATTGGTATCAAGAATAAAAAACTCTCAAAACTCAACATCAAGAAAACAAACAATCCTGACTGGCAACAACAAAATGAGCAAAAAATGTGAACAGACACTTCACCAAGGTGAATATACAGATAGCGAATAAGCACATGAAAAAGATGTTCAACATTAGCAACTATTAAGGAATGCAAGTTAAAGCCACTGTGAGATTCCACTGCACACCTATTAGAATGGCTAAAATAACTGACAAAGGCAAATACTGGGGAGGCTGCAGGGCAACTAGAATGCTCAGCTACTGCTGCTGGAAATGCAAAAAGGTCAGCCATGCCAGAAAGCAGTTTGTTGGTTTCTCATAAAATTAAGTATGTGCCAAATGGTCCCGCACCCAAATCCTAGATATTTACCCTGGAGAAATGAAATCTTATGTTTATTAAAAAATCATTTAGTGGCCAGGCACAGTGGCTCATGCCTGTAATCCCAGCACTTTGGGAGGCTGAAGCGGGTGGATCATGAGGTCAGGAGTTCGAGACCAGCCTGACCAACATGGTGAAACCCCATCTCTACTAAAAATACAAAAATTAGCTGGGTGTGGTGCGTGCCTGTAATCCCAGCTACTCAGGAGGCTGAGGCAAGAGAATCGCTTGAACCTGGGAGGTGGAGGTTGCAGAGAGCTAAGATTGTGCAACTACACTCCAGCCTGGGTGACAGAACAAGACTCTGTATCAGAAAAAAAATAAAAAATAAAAACCATTCAGCCAGGCACGGTGACTCATGTCTGTAATCTCAACACTTTGGGAGGCCGAGGTAGCCGGATCACTTGAGGTCAGGAGTTTGAGACCAGCCTGGCTAACATGGTGAAACCCCATCCCCCATCTCTACTAAAAAAAAAAAAAAAAAAAAAAATACAAAAATTAGCTGGGCGTGGTGGCACACACCTGTAGTCCCAGGTACTCTACTCAGGAGGCTGAGGCAGGAGAATTGCTTGAATCCGGGAGGCCGAGGTTGCAGTGAGCTGAACTGCACTCCAGCCTGGGCAACAGAGCAAGACTCTATCTCAAAAAACAAAACACAAAACAAACAAACAAAATCCACGAATGTTTATAGCGACCCTATTCATAACCACCAAAAATTGGAAACAACCCAAATGTCCTTTAGCAAGTGAACAGATAGGCAAACTGGTACAGCAATACAATGGAATACTATGCAGCAATAAAAATGTATAAACTATTGATGCATGTAGCAACTTAAATGAATCTCAAAAGCATTATGTTGAATGACAAAAGCCAGACTCAAAAGGTTACATATTCTATGATATTCCACAAAGGACAAAACTATAGTGACAAGATCAATGGTTGCCTGGAGTTGGGGCATGGGAGGGAGGACAGGACTACAAAAGGATAACACAGGGAGGTTTTGGGGAAGGGGGGTGAAGGAATTGTTTTATACCCTGATTATAGTGGTATTCACATGAATCTACATGTATTAAAATTCACAGAACTATATACATCAACAGAAAGTCTATTTTGCTACATAATTTAAAAGCAAAAATAATATTATAATAACGGTACTTCTCTCATAGGACTTTGGTGTTTCATAAATAGAAGCTACTAACAGACAGGTGTCTAGGGTGTTTTCCAATGCCAACCAACAATTCTCCAATTCCGCAGACACCAGCTGAATATTCTACAATTTATTTCAATTCTGATGCTTACTACTTGGAGTTAGCACAGACCCCTCAGGTTAAGGGCTCAGTCTCACAAAACTGCACCTCCCCAACTTTAGATGCCAATTGCAAACAGTGGGTCTCCAGGTTATCCACTCTTCTGTCTAATTTGGCTACAAATCAAGGGTTCCCATGACCCTCTCCTCCAGCTTAATATTTTGCAATAACAGCTCACAGAACTCAAGGAAACAACACTTACCAGCAAGATGAAGAGGTACACAGTGCAAAGTATGAGAAAGGAAGGTGAGGCTTACATGCCCTGACCTGGCACACCACCCTTCCAGCACCTTGATGTGTTCGCCAACCTAGAAGCTAATCAAATCTGTTGTTCAAGAGTTTTATTAGAGCATAATCTCCAGCCCCACCTCCCTTGCAGCAGTGAATTCTAAATTTGGTCTTTTTGACCTCAAACTAACTTTTTGGATATTAGGGTCCCTGGAAGTCCAAGAGAGACATATTAAGCTCATTTCGTATGTTAAAATCAGACAAAAAACATTATCAAATAAGAAATGCTGGCCAGGCGTAGTGGCTCATGCCTGTAATCCCAGCATTTTGGGAGGCCAAGGTGGGTGGATCACTTGGGGTCAGGAGTTTGAGACCAGCCTGACGAACATGCCGAAACCCCATCTCTACTAAAAATACAAAAATTAGCCAGGCATGTAATCCAACCTACGGGGGAGGCTGAGGCAGGAGAATTGCTTGCACCTGGGAGGTGGAGGTTGCAGTGAGCCAAGATCACGCCACTGCACTCTAGCCTAGGTGACAGAGCAAGACTCTGTCTCAAAAACAAACAAAAAAACAAACAAAAAAAAACTGCTGTTTAACTTTCTCTGGGTTATATTTACATACGTGTGCTATTAATATATGTTCCAAAATTGTGTAAGATTCCTTAAATTCTGATATGTCTTAGTATTTGTCATCAGGAATAATTCTGATTATTATGCTTAATTGCAGTATGCCACAAAAACAATCAAATTTCCTTGACAATTGTGTCTTTAACCATGAATATTGCCTTTCCTAACCACAGACAATTACTGTTTTACTTTGGTTATTCTCAAAAAGTGGTTTATGATCAGCTACAGCCCAAAATCTGCTTCTTTTAAAAAAAATCATAGAAAAGGCTCTGCCACAGACTTTTAAATACAGGTTTCTGATAACTTTAGCTATCATACCATTAGACTAGGAAAGAACTTCTAGGACTCTAACTAAAAGGCTGATGTGTTTATGAAGATAGCTAACTCAACATCAAGCAGAACAAGGTTAATTACATTGAACTAAACTAATAAAAGACTAAACTGATTTTTTCACAGCCTCTTTTTTAAAAAACATTGCCAGTCCTTTTAATGTTTTGTTTTCAGAGTCAAAAAACTTTTTTGTTTCAGCTATTCGTAGCTTATAACAAATTGGGTAAAGTATACTTTTGTCAGCAAAATTTAAAACAGATATCTTTCTCTTTACCTGGTTTATTTGGAATTTAGAAACTATTTGTGAGTATTCTTAATTTATGACAATATAGTTATTTACATAAGTTCAGTAAGAATCTGTTTTCTTTTGTAACATGACACAATTAGAGAAACTGGTTATGTTACCAAGGCTTTGACTGGAATGACCTATTTTCAGATATGACCAGACTATGTTGAGGAATTGACATCGACTTTACAGTGCTAATAAAAAGCCCCTTGAAGAGATTGGCCTAGGCTAGGCATGGCAGCTCACCCCCATAATCCCAGCACTTTGAAAGGCCGAAGCCGTAGGATCACTTGAGGCCAGGTGTTCAAGACCAGCCTGGGCAACATGGCAAGACCTTGTCTCTACCAAAAAAAAATAAATAAAAGCCAGGAGTGGTGGCATACATGTTTAGTCCTACCTACTTGAGAGATTGAGGCAGAGGAATGCTTGAGCCTAGGAGTTCAAGGCTGCAGTGAGCTATGATTACCACTGCACTCAGCCTGTGTTACAGAGGGAGGCCCTGTCTCAAAACAAACAAACAAACAAAAGATTGCCTGGTACCTTGTCTACATAGTTTCTTTACAAGATTCCTGACCTGTGGTAAGTAAAGAATATCACCTCCTAACAGGCCCAGGAAGCTCAAGATATTTTGGGACCCCAAAAAGAGAGGAATTTACCCAGGTGAAAGGTGTCATTGGTAAGTGGCAACTATCTGAGCTGGTGGCGTGGGGGTAAGAAGGCTTTACCAAGACAGTTGTAGGTAAAGAAAGGCAGATTTAGTAGAGAAAGTATGAAAGTACATTGCAAAGGAGCAACAGGCAGAATCAGCAAGAGAGAAGCTGACTGCAAGGAAACAAAGGCTTGCTGGAGATTTTATAGGATGGTTCTTTGCTGTGTACTGAAAAGAGCTTTGTGCAGTATTGATAACGCCAAGGTTACAGCGAGCTGTACAGGTGTCTAGTGATAAGTTGGGCACAGGAGGGCTACGTGTCCTGGACCACAAAGAAAGGCAGACTCATAGCTTATCTGCTTTCTTTCTTTCTTTGCTTTCCCGTGCTCTCACCAGCCTAACTCCTTTTCTCTAATTAGGACTTCACAAAAGGGTTACCCTGGAGGTTTGGAAAGTGTCATTCTAAACGCTTTGTAGGAAGTAAGTCTAGGAAGATTGTACCTAGAGTTTTGTCAGTTCTGGGTCTGAACAAAGACATCCTCAGAGTCCAAAGCGTAGAAATTCTTGGCTTTTTACACCCACAAGTTATAACCGTAATTCATGTGTTGAGAAATTCCCCAATCTCTCTCTTAGGCTATAGGATCCCCTGGTGCCTTCAGGCAAAAGAGGTCCGTGAAAATTAGTCTTGATTGGTTTGGGACACTGAGATGATTCTGGGACAGCAAGGGAGTGCTTGGCACCAGCGCTTCCTAAATTTATGCCACAGAATATGAATCCCAGAAGACACTGAGAGAGAAGGTGGAGGGAGCAGAGGATGGAGGAAAACCTAGTCTGGGAGATTGGAAAATGCTACATGTTCTGCTTCTCTCTTGGAGATTCACAATGCTTATTAATATATTAATGCTCGGAGGAATCCCACATCAAAGATCTCGATTTGCCTCTGTTTAATCCAGAATTTCCCAAACTTAGCTGATAGAATTTTTTATCAAATAACCCTCCTTGGGACAAGCTGCTTTACACCAAACCCAGATCGCAGGGGTTCATGCCAGAGACAGACTTGGTATATGGTAACTAATTCTTTCTCTTCTAACTCAGTTCTTTGCCAATTCAGTTTCTCCCAAAATTCAGGGCCAGTTCTACAGAGAGATAAAGTGGGCAGCTGCTGACCAGCTTGAATTTCAGGGATAGTGGAGAATCAGAAGGGTAAACACATACGTAGTACTCACTACATGTCAGAGATTGATCTAACCAGCTTAGTTGTCATGACAACTCTGGGAGGTAGACGCTCTTATTATCCCCATTTTATACTTGTGGAAACTGAGACACAGAGCCAACTTGCACCAGGTCACACAGATCATCAGTGGCTGAGAATTGAAACCAAGCAGTCTCAATCCAGATTCCACATTCTGCCTCTCAGATGAGATACCTGCTCTGTTCTTTGGAATTCCACCATTATTTATTCATTTCTTTGGTACTGTAAAAGTCCATGGTCTTCCTGAACTCCACTGGAAAACTCAGTGTCCCCCTAGAAGGAGGATTCTAAGACCCAGTATGGAGGCAATTCTTTCTTCTTAGAATTTTTTCACGGTGTACTCTCTGGTGAACTGCTGGTCATCTTCCAAGGTCTAATCCAAATGTCATCCCTCTAAGAAGCTTTCCCAGAAACCCTGAAGAAAAAGTAACCCCTGCTGTCTTACCATTGCGGTGGTATAGATCTGGTTTATACTCTCCATAGTGTATTTTTTTTTGCATGCATGTGAATTTTTTGCCACCAGACTATAACATTTGCAAATGCAGAAATTTTGTTTCAGGCACTGTACTAGGCACTAAAGGACAGAAAGATTAATAAGATATGGTTCCTGACCTCAAAGGGCCCCTAAGCCTTTTATAATTGTACTTGATGGACATATCTGATATTTAAGACAAGAGCTAGAGAGCTAAAAGCAAAGGGTTAGGAAGGCACAGAGAACAGAACACTTTGATAGCTGAGCTGGGACTAAAGGATGAGGAAGGTTTCAATGGGAGAATGAATCAATGAATGAATGGGTCCCTTGGTGAAATGAACACCCCGTGTTATTTTTCTCGTGCAAGAGGAAAGGGATTGGACTTGGAGGCTGTATTAGCAGCTGCCATTAGCCCTGTGACTTCAGGCACATCAATTCTTTTTTCTAAGCTTCAGTTTATCCATCTGTAAAACTGAAATAGTAGCTACTAATTTCCCAGGATTTGTTTTAAGAGCTAAATAAAATCATGTCTGCAAAGTGCTTTGTGTAAAATGCTAAACGCCATAAAGATGTAGGTATAATTATGCTTCTTAATTCCTTTTGTACATTGTCTCTTAAGAATTCAGGAGGATGTCCTCCGTTTATTGAAAGCTTACTCCAGGCACTATTCTATGTACTTTCTAGATACTGTTTCATTTGCTGTCACAACAACCCTGTGAGTGAGGTGTCATTACTCTCCCCAGGCTGCAGATGAGGAAAGGAAAGCACAGAGAGGCTAAGTCTTCTTGTCCAAGGTCACACAGCTATTAAATCCTGGGGCCTGGATTCCAACCCAGGTGGTACCTTCAAGCCCCTGATCAGACACTAAAGATGTATTAAGATGCTCTCAGTTGGCTGGGCATAGTGGCTCACGCCTGTAATTCCAGCACTTTGGGAGGCCTAGGTGGGTGGATTGTTCGAGCTCAAGGGTTCAAGACCAGCCTGGACAACATGGTGAAACCCCATTCTCTACAAAAATACAAAAATTAGCCTGGTGTGGTAGTACATGCCTGTAATCCCAGCTACTCAGGAGGCTGAGGTGGGAGGATCACTCGAGCCTGGGAGGCAGAGGTTACAGTGAGCCGAGATCGTGCCACTGCACTCCAGCCTGGGTGACAGAGTGAAACCCTGTCTCAAAAAAAAAAAAAAAAAAAAAAGAAAAGAAAAGAAAAAAAGAAAAGAAAAGAAAGAAAAGAAAAGAAAAAACGAAAAAATGCTCCCAGTCTGTCCCAGTTCTAACCATCAATCAGCCGAGAATGGACAAATGGGACAGGGTGACCCACCTCTGACAAGATGGAGATCAAGACCCCTCTCCTTCCCCTCCATCAGCAGACCAATTGAACATGTGGCTAATTGTAAGAACCACTGAGCCTGGATTTTTATTCTTCCCCAAACATTTTTCTCTCCTGTACTTAAACACTGATTAGAAAAAAAAAAAAAAAGCATTAAAGCCATAGATGTTTTTTTACAGGGCTTTAAAAAAAATGGATTACATGGATTCGATGAACCTTCTCCTAGTGAAAGCCTGACAAGGTCATTATTAAGGAATACAAAGACAACTGCTAGATAAATCAGAAGAATGAGGCCCAATATTCACTCGAGTCACCAGGCATTTATCTATATTTGTAAGTGGCTCTCTAACATGTTTATTTCATTGGTATAAGCTTTCCAACAGAACCCTAAAGCGATTATATAGAACACTGGGTCTTCCTAATAGCCTCTAATTTCACAAGCCATGGTAATTTAAAAGAGAGTGGGTGGATGAAGGGCCAGGAGCAGGGAGATTTCTGCTGAAGAATACAAATGTGTTCGTGGCTACGTTGCTTCTGCCTCTTTCTGGGGAAAGGCAAAATGCACACAGGAATGTGATGGAACCTTCCAGCTGGTGGTTTTGCATTGCAGGAAGAAAAGTGTTTGTGAACATGAAAATTGCTGATAATTGGGTGTGAACGCCTGTAAGGGAGACAAATGGAGAAACATTGCAGCATCTTTATTTCTATCAAGGGCTGAACTCTGCTGGTGGGTGTGTGAATTGGCACCATCTTTTGGAGGGGAATTTAGCAGCGTGCTGACACTCTGACCCAGCAATTCCCCTTCTAGGAATCTGTCTTATAGCAATACTTGTTCATGCACATAAAATGTACAAGGATGCTCATGATAGCATTGTTTGCAGGTGTGAAAACTAGAAATAACCTACATCCATCAACAATAAAATGTTTAAACAGGCCAGGATGCCTGTAACCCCAGCACTTTGGGAGGCCGAGGCGGGTGGATCACTTGAGGTCAGGAGTTCGAGACCAGCCTGGCCAACATAGTGAAACCCCTGTCTCTACGAAAAATACAAAACTTAGCCAGATGTGGTGGCGGGCACCTGTAATCCCAGCTACTCAGGAGGCTGAGGCAGGAGAATCACTTCAACCCGGATGGTGGAGGTTGCAGGGAGCCTAGATTGTGCCACTGCACTCCAGCCTGGGTGACAGAGCAAGACTCGCTCTCAAAAAAAAAAAAAAAAAAAGAAAGAAACAAAAGAAAAGAAGAAAGAAAGAAAGAGAAAGAAAATGTTTAAACACTTTCTTTTAAACAAAAAATTTTAAACAAAATTATGGCATATCCATATCTTAGAATAATTTGCTACTAATACATGGAATGAGGGAAATCTATATATTCTGACACAGAACATTGTCCCTGATACGCTAAGTGCAAAAAAAGCAAATTGCAAAATAGTATCTATCCTAGGAATCCACTTAAAATTGTTTTTAATGTTAATATATTCATAGAAAAATATTGGAAGGAATATGTGCCAAAGATTACCGTGGCTATTTCTGGGGCATGATGTATGTATTTCATAATGTTTACATTTTTATGAACATGGATTACTTTTGCAAACAGGAAAAATCCAATGACGTTGAATTATTTCCCCAAGGGAAGGAAGGAAATAAAAAAGGAACCGGCTGGTAATGAGATTTATTCACTGTCTTTGGGTGAGAGGCTTCAGTGTAATTCCACGGTGAGTGCACTCTGATTCCGGCACCCTGGGCAAGGGCGATATGTAGTAAAAATGAACGGAAGTGACCATGCCCACACCAGGGGCCGCAGACAAACGGCCTCTCTCCGCTCCCTTGCCCTGGTCTCCTGCTTGTTGCTGCGGCTACTGCTGCTGCTCCTGACTCTTGGCTGATGCCTGAGTGCCTGCTTTCTTCCCATTTCCTTCTCTCACCCTGCAAGCCGCTGTAGAGGACACTTAAACATGGTGGTAAAGACCTTGGCCTTTAGAGGTAGGTAGCCCTAGGTTCAAACCCCGACTTCACCACTTTCCTGTGTGACTTTGGAACATTTACTGCTCCTCTTAGGACCTCTGTTTCCTCGTATGAAAAATATCATCATCTTAGAGAACCTGCCTCATAGGATCTCTGGAGTGATGAAAAGAAACAAGTATAAAAAGCCTGGGTGCAGTGGCTCACGCCTGTAATTCCAGCACTTTGGGAGGCTGAGGTGGGCAAATCACTAGAGGTCAGGATTTCGAGACCAGCCTGGCCAACACAGTGAAACCCCATCTCTACTAAAAATACAACAATTAGCCAGGCATGCTTGCTTGAACCCAGGAGGCAGAGGTCACAGTGAGCTGAGATCGTGCCACTGCACTCCAGCCTGGGCAACAGAGCAAGACTCGGTCTCAAAAAAAAAACAAAAACAGAAAAGCCCCAAAGAAGTCTAAAAAGTGCCTGGGCATACTAAGTGCTTAATAATGACACCTATTATTAGTATTATTGTCACCGAGTCCTTTCAATTCTTTCTTGGTTGAATTTTCCCATCTATCTTCTACCTGATAAACTCCTACCCAGCTTCCAGGCCTGGCTCAAAATGCCATCATTGTGAAACCTCTTCTGGTCCCTTTCCCCAACACCCAGAACTGACTGACGTTCCCATTGGAGGGACATTACATTCCGGCACTGTGCTGGGTACCTGGCTGCATTACCCAAATTCTACTCTGATTTGCAGTTCTGTCTCCTCTCCTCTACAGACCCCTAGCTCCTGCAGGGCAGCAGGCAGCTCAGATCTCTTCATCTCAGTGCAGGCCCAGAGTGTGAGTGCAAGTAATCATTTTTCCAATTGATTTAATCCCATCCCTGCTCCTAAGACCTTGGCCTAGCCGTTTCCAGTTCATGGGGGAACTATGATAACAACTGTCTAATCAGTCCCCCACAATTCAGGCTAACATGTGAATTACATAAGTCCTTGCTCAAAACCCTTCAAGGACAGAGCAGAATTTCCGAAAAAATCCCAGAGTTGGAGCCAGACCTGGGTTTAGCTCTAGTTTTGCCACAGGCTGATGTGATCCTATCACCTGGCTTTACCTCTCTAAGCCTTAGCTTGGCCATCAGTAAAACCAAGGCCCTCCTGCCACAGGGCACTAGAGGGTGCTCAGTGAGAAGTGCATGTGAAAATGTGTCAACATTACCTGAATGTTAGCTATTACTATTTCTATTATTTTTGAGAGGTAGTGTATTTTGGGGAGGAAGGAGAGGGTAGTTGAAAAAGTTTCTGTCCTGGAAGTCAAACCACCTCCTGAATGGTAATCTTCAGCAAGTTTCTCCAGTTATACAAAGAGGAGAGCTGTAAGATTTTTCTACTCCTAGGGTCCTGTTTCCTCCAGAAACTGCATTTGAAGCACCCTTTGTGAGACCATTCCACAAGGCAAGGGGGCAAAAACTGTGATCCACCCTTGAAATTAAATGCAAGTATCAGAGAACGTCTGTGCACTCCCATATCCACCCTTGTATTTGAAAAGGGCTTTAGCGTGAAGAAGTCTCCGTCAAATCTTGACGGTGGTATTCTCTACATGGCGGGATTGGGCATCATTTTAATTTTGTGTTTTTCCAAATCTTCGAAATCTGCAATTTTGGAACTAGAGCGATGATGGGGGCACAATATTGTGAAGGCACTACATGCTACTACACTGTCCATTTCAGAACGGCTAGTTCCATATTATGTGAGTGTCGCCTCACTTAAAAACCTTCAATACGCTCCCGATTTTATAGTCATTCTTTAAACCGTAGTTTGAAGAGAGAAGTACAGAGGCTATCAAGGCTCAGGGCCCGCGGAGTCGGGTGACGCTCGCCTCCGCCGATTTGTCCAAGTCGCAACCTAGCCGCCAGCCTGTAGGGCACTCCTCCGACCACGAGGGGACAATGCAAAGCCTCGCGTTCCCCACACTAAGGCGAGCACCGCCTCTTGCGTCTTGGAAGCGCCTGTGCGTGCGTGGGGCGTAGCAAGGGACGGAAGCTCTGCCTGTGCGACCGCCGCCCACCCGAGCCTATCTGGGCTGCGTCTTCTCGCCGCTGCTCTTCGTGGCCCAACGCCCCAATCCTTGCGTGTGCTTGCAGTCCCACCCCACACTCAGCCTTGTGTCCCTCGATCCAGTCTCCGACTTCCATTTCCCACCCTAAACCGCCTACCCGGTGTCTGTTCCCCGCCCGGTTGTCCTCGCCCTGCTGCGCTGAGTGTCCCCTGTTAGCCTCGACCCCATGGCGCTGCAGACGCTGCAGAGCTCGTGGGTGACCTTCCGCAAGATCCTGTCTCACTTCCCCGAGGAGCTGAGTCTGGCTTTCGTCTACGGCTCCGGGGTGTACCGCCAGGCAGGGCCGAGTTCAGACCAGAAGGTGAGCCCGGGCAGCCCCACGACGGGGAACTGTCTGTTCTCACGAGTCCCGTTTTGCCCTCGATTCCTTCAGAGTCGGAGAGCTGCCTGTCCGCTCTGCACACTCCACGTGTCCACTAGCAGAGTGAACCATAGGCCTGCCTTCCTAGTATAACGACAGCGCGAGTTGAAGCGACGGTGTTGAAGGATACTTAGGAATCCACGTGGGTCTAGAGCAGGAGAAGCAGTTAGGCAGAAGGAAAAACTGCTGCAGGGGCAAATGGAAGAAAGGAAAAGAAATCGTTATCAGGTTCTTTCAGTGTTTTAGTCGGCTGGACATCGGAATTTTCTGGGGAGCTTTTAAGAAAATCCTAATGCTCGGCTTCCGCCGATGGAGATTCTGATTTAATTGGTTTGGGATGAGGCCTGGGCTTCAGGAATTTAAGAAACGTCCCAGGTGATTCTAATGCGCAGCCAAGTTTGTTGAGAGTCACCTCTATAAATGTAGGAGAAAATGCAAAATGATCTTCTGACTTCAGGAAGTTGGCGGACTGGTTGTAGGGCCAGGGCAGGTGCAGTGAAAGTAACTAACATCAAAAGTTAGTGCGTGACCAGTGTATTTACCCTCGCTCAGCACTTTTAACAACGGTCTGTTTGAGACTAGGCATTGTTACTTTTCAGAGTTGGCTCAGCACAGCCTCAGTAAGGGTACAGTTTTCCTTGTAATTTGCAGAATTCAGTGTGCAGGTTTTAATGGGGCCCCCTGCGTCTGGATACCTGACTGTAGTCTGTCTTCTGATTAACATCCTGCCTGTTCACTTCCTGGTGAGGCCATCTATGCTGTTGCTTGGATTTCCTCTGTTTCCCACTTACACTACTATTTAATATTTTTCTTTAAATTGGCAGCATATGAGAAATTATAGGTTATTATAGGCTAGTTATTTTTCCCGAATTTACCTTAACATAATTACACATTTTTAAAAAACATGTTTATTCCATACCTGCCTCGCCACCAAATCTCAAGTGTCCCCAGTGGTCTGTAGAGTCACACTCTACAGAGCAGGCGTTAGCCTCCTGATGGCCACCTCTTCATTCTTCCATGGAGGTTTTCCTTTGAATAGACCTGGAATTCCCTGCAAGAAAAGGTCCTTCCTTCCCATTCCCTCACTTTTGATTCCTTACATTCAAGTGAACAAGTTGTAGATTCCAACACCTACATCTTTCTCACATCAGTCCCCATCCTTAGCGCCTTAGCTAATATAATTTCATTTCTCCCCTGGAATCTTGCCATGGCTTCAGATCTAATTCCCCCACCCCCTTAGTCCCTCTTCTCTCCAGTCAGCTCTTCTGCAGGAAAATTTTCTAGCATGGCAAACAGCCTCCCTCTCTGATCTCATCTCCCACCGCATAAATGTGTTCTATTTCAGTCATATCTGACGGCAGCTTCCAGAACATGCTGGCTCCCATATCCACAGAGCACTTTCCTCCAACACGGCTCCCTACCCTTCCCTGTGCTTCCCCCAGTGCTTCCAGCAAGTCTGTTTAACTCACGTGTCCTTCAAGACTCAGATTTGTCATCTCTAGGAGAATTTCTCCCTCCTGTGCCCCTGATCTGATCCCTATGCTGAGTGCAGTTAGTACATTTTGCATTCCTCTATCAAGTCAATGTAGTGATAATTTGTTTATTCTCTCCAGTAGACTCTGAGCTCTATACTTCTACCCTAGGGCCTGTCAGAGTTCATTACTTATGTACTCAATAAGTGGTTGGTGAATAGGTAAGAGATAAAATAACTGACTTCCTTTTATATAGTATTTTGTAGAGTTTATCCAGGTGGTGCTAATTTGATCCAGAAGAAAAGCGGAGCACATTTAGCTACATTTGTGAAAGGCAGTGTAGTGCAGTGGTTCAGCACACACAGTTTGGAGCCAGACCTCTTAGGTCTGCCACTCACAAGCTCTGTGTCCTTGGGCAAAGAGCATCCCCTGTGCCTTGGTTTCTTATAAAATTGAGATAATAGCAGTAGCTACCTTGTAGGGTTGTGCTGAGGATAAATGGAGTGACTGCGTATGTTACCCATAAAGTGTTTAAAGAGTGCTGGCACAACAATACATGTTAAAGAAGTGTTTGCTATTATTACATTGATGAAAACAAAGCTCATATTTGTTCCAGAGACTCGCTCACATTTCTGATGACAGCACCAGGCCTTCTGACTATTGATCATAATTGCGTAGTATGTTAGAGCTTTTCCATGCTCTCTTGCTGCCTTTCTAGGAATTAATACTGAAATTATTCTCTTTTCTTCACTCCACAGAATGCTATGCTGGACTTTGTGTTCACAGTAGATGACCCTGTCGCATGGCATTCAAAGAACCTGAAGAAAAATTGGAGTCACTACTCTTTCCTAAAAGTTTTAGGGCCCAAGATTATCACGTCCATCCAGAATAACTATGGCGCTGGAGTTTACTACAATTCATTGATCATGTGTAATGGTAGGGTAAGTGACTGCTGGCCTTTGTCTTAACTTGGCTGGTTATTTACCTGGGTTATTAGAGTGCCAGCTAAATATGTATGTTCTTGTGGTCAGGAAACATTCACACTCCTGCTGGACGTTGTTATAGTCGGGAAATATGTATGTTTTTATAGTATGTATATTCTTATAGTCAGGAAACATTCACACTCCTGCCAGACGTCTTGAACTTGGGGACAGAGCAGGGACTGGAGTCCTTCCTCATGTCCCATTAACTGTCATTGCAGTGTGAGGAGGTGGTTGGGTGTGACTGACTTATTTTATTTTTTTTATTTTTTTGAGACGGAGTTTTGCTCTTGTTGCCCAGGCTGGAGTGCAGTGGTGTGATCGCAGCTCACTGCAACCTCCGCCTCACGGGTTCAAGTGATTCTCCCGCCTCAGCCTCCCAGTTAGCTGGGATTACAGGCGTGTGCCACCTTGTAGGAGAGACAGGGTTTCACCATGTTGGCCAGGCTGGTCTCGAACTCCTGACCTCAGGTGATCTGCCCGCCTCAGCCTCCCAAAGTGCTGGGATTACAGGCGTGAGCCACTGAGCCCGGCCACACTGACTTTATTTTTTTGTCTTTGGCCAAGTGGTTCTCAAGTTTTAGTGTGCATCAGAATCCCCTAGGTTGTGTGTCCATTGGACACACAGATTGCTGGGCCCCACCCCCAGAGTTCTGATCACTAGGTCTGGGGTAGGGATTGAAGATTTGCATCTCTTAACACACTTCCAAACAGTGCTGAAGCTGCTGGTCTAGAACCATTGGTCTGGTCAGTGGGAGGAATAGGCAGGCCAATTTTGGGTCAGGTTGGAGATTGATTTTATCTAGAAGGAGGGGCAGACACCCCCAGGAAGAAGTTGGAAGTGAAGAGGATATCACAGGTGATTGAGAGCATGTGTGTCAGGTGATAGACGGGAACCTCTTGGTGCCAGGAGACGCGTGGAATTTGACAGTGGGCTGTTGGAGAGCAGGTAAGTTGCATGGATTCCTGCTGGTGGTTCATCTGACAGCAGGAACTTTGCTGAACTGTCTTTCAGCTGAAGCATCGCAGTCTCCAAGAGAGCTGTCAAGACCTAGGCAGAACCCCAGCCTGCAAGGATCAGTAGGGGTCTAAATCAGATGCTTCCTAGAGCTTCCCTGGGCCAGGGATGACATATGGGTTTCACTTGCTGTGCCAGCTCTGCCACTCATTGTTCAAGGCGGTCAGGCTTTGGCCGGCATCGAGCCACCTGGAGATCCCATTTCAGTGCAGATCCTGACTCAGTTGGTCTGAGATGGAACCTGAGATTCTGCCTTTTTTTTTTCTTTTTCTTTTTTTGAAACAGGGTCTGGCTCTGTCACCCAGGCTAGAATGCAGTGGCACCATCTCCGCTCATTGCAATCTCTGCCTCCCGGGCTCAAGCCATCTACCTGTCTCAGCCTCCCAAGTAGCTGGGGCTACAGGCACATACCACCACGCCTGGCTAATTGTTGTATTTTTTGTAGAGACAGGGTTTTGCCATGTTGCCCAGGCTGGTCTTGAACTCCTGACCCCAAACAGTCCTCCCAAAGTACTGGGATTTACAGGTGTGAGCCACCATGCCCCACCAAGGTTCTGCTTTTTTTTTTTTTTTTTTTGAGATGGAGTTTTGTTCTTGTTGCCCAGGCTGGAGTGCAATGGTGCGATCTCTGCTCACTGCAACCTCCGCCTCCCAGGTTCAAGCGATTCTCCTGCCTCAGCCTCCCGAGTAGCTGGGATTACAGAGCCCACTACTGTAATCATGTCCAGCTAATTTTTTGTGTTTTTAGTAGAGTGGGGTTTCACCATGTTGGCCAGGCTGGTCACGAACTCCTGACCTCAGGTGATCCACCCGTCTCGGCCTCCCAAAGTGCTAGGATTACAGGCGTAATTCTGCATTTGTTATAAGCTCCCAAGTGATGCCAATGCCATTGGTCAAAGGCCCACGCTTTAAAGGGCAGGAGGTTGGAGTACTGACTTGAGAAGGATTTGAAGGTCTGTCTGAACTTGGCTAAGGAGTGAGTGTTGTGATTGACTGGTGACGTCTGCATACCCCTTGGGCCATATATTTGCTTTTCCGGTTGAGATCCAACCTTGCTTCACCTGTATTTTGCAGTTGAGGAAACTGAAGTTCAGAGAGAGGAAATGACTTCCATAAGGTTGTGCAGCTAGTTTGCAACAGGTCCCCTGACTTCCAGGCCCGTGGTGTTTCTGTTACCTCCCAGTGGTTACTTGCCTGCAGCTAGAAGGGCTTTCTGCAGTGCTGCTGCTGGAGTTGGGGGGAAAAGGCTGACACTCAGCACAGCCTTCTGCATCCACTTGAGTCATGCAGGACACTTAGCTTTGTTCTTTCTCCACAGTTAATATTATGCCAAACCTACCTGTAATTAGTAATTTTCAAAGAATATTATAAGTTCCAGTAACCAAATGTTTGGGCATAATTATATGCCAAAAGACTACTTTTTAATTGATAATTTTTAACTGCTTTTTATATATTTGCAGCCTGAGAAGGCTGTTTGGATACTGAGGTTCAGCAAAGTGGGTCTGAAGATACTTGTTTATGCAAATGGGACTTTGTAACCTGGGAAATCTACAGGATTTATACAAATTATTATTGAAATAGGCTTAACTGTCCGGGCACGGCAGCTCATGCCTGTAATCCTAGCACTTTGGGAGGCCAAGGTGGATGGATTGCTTGAGCCCAGGAGTTCAAGACCAGCCTGGGCAACATGGTGAAACCCTGTCTCTACAAAAAATACAAAAATTAGTCAGGTGTGATGGTGCATGCCTGTGGTTCCAGCTACTCTGGAGACTGAGGTGGGAGGATCACTGGAGCCCAGGGAGTTAGGGCTGTAGTGAGCCAAAATCATGCCACTGCACTCCAGCATGGGCAACAGAGTAAGACTCTGTCTCAAAAAAAAAAAAAAAAAAAAAAAAAAATAGAAATGGGCTGAACTATAATTTCTTTTTTTAGCATGAATAAAGAAGTTTTATTTTTGGATATTGCTTTGTAATTACAAAAGTGTTTGAAATAGTCAGTAGCAAAAGAGAAATTCACTATGTAAAGCATGTCAGTGAAAACTTCTAATTAAAGGAAAATTTCTTGTACTTTGTAATGAAAAGAGCATTGGAAGACCAGACTGAAATTCTGGGACCTAGTTTTGACTCTGCTACTACTGGTGCCACCTTGAGCATGTCATTTGTTGTCTCTGAGCTTTAGGTTTTTTATTTCTCAAATGAGGAACATGAACTAAATTATCACTTCTCAAACTGTCTTTGGGGAAGGACAAGTTTTTTTTACTCCCAATCCACTGAGGACCAATACTAGATAGCATCTAAGAGCCATTCCACCTTTAACATCACATGGACCTAAGTTGAAATAGTGGTCACCTTGTAATTGCCTGGTGGGTTCTTCCTGCCTGTCGCATGGACAAAATCGGTTCACTGTGACTGTGGTATTGCTGTAAAGAGTTTAATCAGGCCGGGCATGGTAGCTCACACCTGTAATCCCAACACTTTTGGAGGCCGAGGCGAGTGGATCACCTGAGGTCAGGAGTTTGAGACCAGCCTGGCCAACAGGATGAAATCCTGTCTGTACTAAAAATAGCAAAAAATTAGCCAGATGTGGTACCGCGTGCCTGTAATCCCAGCTACTCAGGAGGCTGAGGTGCAAGAATGGCTTGAACCCAGGAGGCGGAGGTTGTGGTGAGCTGAGATTGCGCCAGTGCACTCCAGCCTGGGTGACAGAGTGAGACTCCATCTTAAAAAAAAAAAAAATGAGTTTAATTAACATTAACGTGAGGCTGGGCACACAGGAGAACTGGTGTTGTCACTCAAATCACTCTCCCTGAAAGCTCGGCAGTTAGGGTTTTTGAAGGATAGTTTGGTGAACAGGGGACTAGGGAATGGGTGCTGCTGATTGGTTGGGGATGCAATCATACAGGTGTGGAAAACAGTCCTCATGGGCTGAGTGGGCCTTTTGCTGAGGGAGGGGCAACAGGACCAATTGAGTGTTGAGTCATGGTTCTGGGTGGGGTCAGTCAGTTGCTGGAATGCAAAAGTCTGAAAACATCTCAAAAGACCAACCTTAGGTTCTACAGTAGTGATGTTATCTATAGGATTAATTGGAGAACTCACAAGTCTTGTGACCTCTGGACACATGTCTCCTGAGCAGTAAGACATCATAGAAACTATCCCAACATTTTAGCAGAATTCAGGCCCTTCCCATAACCCTAATCTTGTGGACTTTCATTAGTTTTACAAAGGGGATTTCAGCTCTGGACTGGGGAGGGGAACAGTTTTAGGGAGGGACTATTATCATCCTTGCTTTAAAATTAAACTATAAACTATATTCCTCCTCCTTGGTTGGCTTGACCTACGCCCAGGCATGAGCTTGGATAGCCAGCCTGTGAGGCTGGCAGCAAGATGGAGTCAGCCATGCTAGACTTCTCTGTTATAATCTTGTGAAGACAGTTGCAACCTCCCCTTACATACCCTAGGGGCTAAATCAGTCTTGGACACTTAACCTCTCAAAAGTTTTGGTGGAGATGTGTGTTTTCACAAGTCAGGTGTTTTGAGTGGCTTTGGAATCAAGGTACTGCTCTGGTCAAGAATTTTATCTGTTTCCTTATATTTTATACTTGTATAAGCAATAACATGGTATTTTACTCCGTTTTGTGCCATTTCTTTTTTCCTTCAGCTTATCAAATATGGAGTTATTAGCACTAACGTTCTGATTGAAGATCTCCTCAACTGGAATAACTTATACATTGCTGGACGACTCCAAAAACCGGTGAGTGTTTTATAGGCTGCACAGTTAAGGATGCCTTTCCTCTCTGAGCCTAACCTTACTTTGATCATTGTGATTGCAATGAGATGGAACTCTGGAAATAGAAATGAGTTTCTGACTCTTCCTATTCCCTATAAAATTTATTGCCAAATAATATCCACATATTCTATTGTGATATAAGAAGAAATATGTATTTGGTTTTTTTCCTTGGGCTCCTGGTTCAGAGGTCCTAAAATCTTTGGAATATCTGAGTGTTAGGGATGAGAGGGTCTTTTATTATTCATAACAAGTTCCTTTCAGTCGTACCTGAGTTTATACTAATAAAGTGACTCTTGATGGGCCCCTAGATAGATTCAGGATAGGGCTGGTTGCCAGGGAGCCAGCCGTGTGATAAGAGGCTGGACCTTTCAGGCCCCCCACTCCCACCTTCACAGAGGGGAAAAGGGCTGGAGATTGGGCCAATCACCAACGGCCAATGATTTAATCAGTTGTGCATAGGCAGTGGAACCTCCATAAAAAAAAGGGGGTTCTGAGAACTTCTGGGTTGGTAAGCACATCAAGGTGCTGGGAGGGTGACATGCCCGGAGAAGTCGTGGCGCTCCACACCCTTCTGCTACCCCATATCTTGCCAAGCATTTCTTCCATTTGGCGGTTCCTCAGTTGTGTCCTTCATAATAACCAAGTACATGCAAGAAAAGTGCCTTCCCGGCTGGGTGTGGTGGCTCACACCTGTAATCCCAGGACTTTGGTAGGCCAAGGTGGGCGGATCATTTGAGGTCAGGAGTTCAAGACCAGCCTAGCCAAAGTGGTGAAACCCCGTCTCTACTAAAAATACAAAAAAGGTACCTGGGCGTGGTGGCACATGCCTGCAATCCCAGCTACTGGGGGAGGCTGAGGCAGGAGAATCGCGTGAATCTGGGAGATGGAAATTGCAATGAGCCGAGATCACACCACCGCACCCCAGCCTGGGCGACAGAGTGAGACTCCGTCTTAAAAACAACAGCAACAAAAAACTGCCTTCCTGAGCTCTGTGAGCCATTCTAGCAAATTATGAAACCAGAGGAGAGGGGAAGTAGCCCCCATCCCTTTCAAGTGAACGATCAGAGTACAGGCAGCCTGGACTTGTGATTGGTGTCTGAAGTGGGGGAGGCTTGTGGAACTGAGCCCATAACCTGTGGGATCTGACTCTGACTCCAGGTAGCTAGGGTCAGAATCGAATTCAGTTGTAGGACACTCAGTTGGTGTCTGGAGGGCTGGAGAATTGGTTGGTGTGACACCCACATTTGGTGTCAGAAGTGCTGGGAGTAGAAGCCGGGTCACAGTCCACTCTCCCTCCTGCTGCCCTCCCCCTCAAGATTCTCCAATGACTGGATCGGGCTCCAAGTTGACCCATTTGGGGGAAGGGTGGCAGAGGAGGTGCCTGGTGCCTCAGTGGAGCCTCCCTTAGCACCACCCAGTCACCTTGTCTGCTAGGACATGTATCATGGAGGCACCGTTTGTCCACTGATGCGTCCCAAGGGCAGTGCCTGAGTCGTGGGATCCTTCAGTAACCATTGAATAAATGAATGCACCAAGTAGTCATTCCAAGGGACTGGTGTTCCCATCCCTTTTATTCTCTTTCTCAGGCCAGTGGTGATGCTTTCTCTATTGTCTTAGCTCTTTTGGGACACAGCTAGAGGAGGCTGTGGGGAGTCGGCTTCTCCCTGGGCTTTAGTAGAAACAGGAAACAAACACAAAACAGGAAAAAAAAAAAGTGGGAGAGAACTTAAACTTTTAACAAGTATTTGCAATGTCACTTTTCTTTCTTCTTTTTTTTTTTCCAGATAATCAGTCTGTGCTCTGAGAAAGGGTCTTTCCATAGTTTGAGGACTGTGTTAAATATTTACAGTTGCTAATCTCACACTTCCTACTATAAGGAAGATTTTCACTGTGCGTGAGAGGGTCCCAGGCTCCACAAGAGGCCGATAGATTGTTCTCGAGTGTCTCCCCCAACAGTGATGTGCTGCTTCTGTAGCTATCTATGGGAAAAATGACAGATTTCCATAGCCTTAGCTCACTGGTTTGTGTCATAAACATCTCTTTATTGATGTGCATGGGCTGTCTGGATTCTCCTGCTTTGCACCTGGGCTTACAATTTCATAGTGTAGCTCCTTAAAATGTCCAGAAATACTCGATCCGGGCAGGGGTTACACAGGTATACACATGGACAAATTTATCAAACTGTACCCTTAAGATGTGTGCACTTCACTGTAACTTTTACTTTAATTAAAAACATTTTTTAAAGTCCAGAAATGATAGGCTTACTGAAATTTCATGTCTATACAGATACATTTCTCATTTCTAAGTTGGATGACTAGTAAAGCTCATAACTGAGCAGTTGGAAATTTGTAAATATTTTATTTCCAAGGGTTTTTTGTTTTGTTTTTTGTTTTGTTTGTTTGTTTTAAATATACAAAAGATGGGCCAGGCACTGTGGCTCACGCCTGTAATCTCAGCACTTTGGGAGGCTGAGGCGGGTGGATCACTTGAGGTCAGGAGTTCGAGACCAGCCTGGCCATCATAGTGAAACCCCAGATCTTCTGAACATACAAAAATTAGCCAGGCGTGGTGGCACACGCCAGTAATCCCAGCCATTCGGGAGGCTGAGGCAGGAGAACCACTTGAACCCAGAAAGTGGAGGTTGCAGTGAGCCGAGATTGCGCTACTGCACTCCAGCCTGGGTGACAAAGCGAGACTCTGTCTCAAAACAAACAAACAAAAACATAATATATAGCTTGATGGGAAGAATAGTGGACATGAAATTAGAAGCCTTGAGTCATATTCAGTCCTGCCACCTATTAGCTGTTACATAAACTTAGGCATCTTGTTTTATCTTTCTGAACTTCAGTTATCTGTAGAATAAAGGTCCACAAAGGTATTGAAAATTGGAAGCAGGGCTGGGTGCAGTGACTCATGCCTGTAATCCCAGCACTTTGGGAGGCTGAGGCAGACAGATCACTTGAGGCCAAGAGTTCGAGAACAGCCTGGACAACATGGCAAAACCCCATCTCTACTAAAAATACAATAATTAACTGGGCGTTGCGGCATGCACCTGTAATCCCAGCTACTCGGGAGGCTGAGGCAGGAGAATCGCTGGAACTTGGGAGGCAGAGGTGAGCCAAGATCGTGCCATTGCACTCCGCACTCCAGCCTAGGTGACGCAGCGAGACCCAGTCTCAAAAAAAAAAAAAAAAAGGAAAAGGAATATTGGAAGCAGAGTAGTACTGCTGGGAAGAACTCAGTGTTTCAGAATCTAACAGATGTAGGGTTAGAATCCCAGCTCTGATGCTTCCTAATGTTGTGACCCTGCACCACTGACAGTCTCCCTAAGCCTCGGGGTGTTTTCATCTGTAGATGAGTCTGATGGCGCTGACCTCAGAGGGTTCTGAAATGCCTGGTACTTAGTAGACACTCAGAAAATGGTCTTTGCCTTCTCTCTGTGCCTTTGCTTATCTCAGTTATTTTGAGATAGAAATGAAATTGAATGTTAAAATGTTGTATTGTTCTTTGTATTATACTTTATGCTTAGAATGTTTCAAAATTTTAAAAAAGGCTTTAGAAAGCTGAAATGCCATGAAATCTCAGAATGTAAGCACTGGAAATGAGCTCAGGTTTTATCTAACTGTTATATCCTTATAAAACAAAAACAGCAATTCAAGACAAGTAGTAGCACCCATGCTCATTTCATGCAAAACTCTGCATTTCTCAGCTGACTTGGAGAAGAAAATGTTACTGATAGCAATGATTATTTTCTAAGGCTTTTAATGCTTCTAGCACAAGAAAATTAGGGTATCATAAAGTCATTTGAAAGTGATGAACATATTTTTTTTTTAATTGAGAATGATAAATGGGCAAATTAACTCTCTCTTCTACCTTGCTCCCAATTTTCAACATGTGGAAATCACTGTTAACCAGAATGATGATTTTTAAACAAACTATCTGTGCCTCTAGGTGGCAGCAAATATTAATCAGACTTGAACAAATCTAATGAAAAGAGGGTGGTAGTATCTTGGACAAGAAAGTTGGGTAAATATCTTAAGAAAGAATTATGAGAATATGAGTATGAATTCTTTATCTTTGTGTTTTAAAAGGAATCACATTAAATTACATTGTCTAAAGCCCCAGAATTGTCTTGCATCTTGCAAATTGAAATAGAATTCCTCAATCACTAGTAATTCAAGTCTTTAAAAGGGATATAGGCCGAGTGCGGTGGCTCATGCCTATAATCCTAGCACTTTGGGAGGCTGAGGTAGGGGGATCACCTGAGGTCAGGAGTTCGAGACCAGCCTGGCCAACATGGTGAAACCCCGTCTCTACTAAAAAATGCAAAAATTAGCCAGGCGAGGTGGTGCGCACCTGTAATCCCAGCTACTAGGGAGGCTGAGGCAGGAGAATCACTTGAACCCAGGAGGTGGAGGTTGCAGTGAGTCAAGATCATGCCACTGCACTCCAAGCTGGATGACAGAGCAAGACCATGTCTCCAAATATATATATTTGAGTATCTTGCTTAAAAAGATGGACTTTCTGGGAAAAGTTGAGTGTAAATTAAATTTTTATCATACTTTACCATTAACTTATCTCATAATTGATGGAATACCCTATTTTTATTTCCAGTACAACCTTAAGTTTCTGAGTTTACTAATATTTTCCCAAGTAAAAAATCATGGAATTTAAAGTGTTTAATATAGCATTGTGACCAAACTTTTTTTAAGCCAAGAAACCTCTAAAGTAATAATTAATAGTTATTTCCTTAGTTAACATAATTTTGGATTTTTGTATTTTACATTGTTTTTAGTGTATAAATAATTGTGCTTGAGTTTTTAAGACATTTATATTGACATGCAGTGGTTTTTTTGCCACCTTGTTAAGAGGATTTTGATTTAATGTATTCATTGCAATATATTTTGCCTTTTAGTAATGTAGCTTTATTTTATTTTAATTTTATTTTTGAGACAGAGTGTTGCTTTGTCACCCAGGCTGAAGTGGAGTGGCATGAACACAATTTACTCGACCTCCCGGGCTCAACCAATCCTCCCATCTCAGCCTCCTGAGTAGCCGGAACTATAGGCACGTGCCACCATGCCCAGCTAATTTTTGTATTTTTTTGTGAAGATGGGGTTTTGCCATGTTGCCCAGACTGGTCTTGAACTCCTGGGCTGAAGGGATCCACCTGCCTCAACCTCTCAAAGTGCTAGGATTACAGGCATGAGCCCCCTTGTCTGGCCTATTTTTTAATAACAGCTTTATTGAGATAAAATTCGCATACCACACAGCTCAACCATTTAAAGAGTACAATTCAATGATTTTTACTATATTCAGAGTTCAACTATCACCATATTGCAGCTTTGTTGATTAATTTTTTGTGTGGATAGAAAAACCCCCAGTGCTATAAAAGATCCCTAAACTGGGAGTTGGAAAACCTGGCTTACTAGTTTTGGCTCTGCCCTACTATAAGCAAATGTTTGGGCCGCTAGCGTTTGAAATGCACAGATTGAGTCATTCATTTCTTTATTCAAAAGACAACTGTTTCTTCTCTGTGTATGCCAAAGGAATTTTTAAAAATGATATCATGTTGCTTGTCCTCGAAGAGCCCAGAGTCCAGCAGGTAGATATTGAGTAAGGTTTCATCCAGCTCTAATGTTCAGCGTTTCTTCTTCATCCTTAAGCAGTGACTATTTAGAAGAGTTAAACCTCCTGGTCGTTTGGAATGGAAAAGTTCTGGTGGGCGGTTGAGTATTTGAACAGTAGGTAGGGCTGTGGTCTTTGTGATTAAAATTTCACTCTGCAATTCAAGTAGTCTCTCCTTGTGACAGTTTTAGAGGAGCCCACATGTGAGTTTCTCTTTTTTCCTGTCTTGAAAGGTACTCACAAATATCTCCTTTGAAAGTCCCTTTAAGCCAATGCCCCTTTCTCTACAGTAAAGATTTTCCTCCCTGGCAGTCGTGCTAATGTTATCTATGCAGTTCAGGTCGGGGCATTCCCAGTAAGATACAAACAGCTATTCACAAATCTGAGCACTTTCTTTTTTTCCCAGGCCTCTCTGGCAGTGTCCCAAGAGTTCACTGGCTTTTCACTCTGAACAACAAATAACAGTGCTGCTGAGACAAGTTCCTAGTTCACCTTTCATTGAAGAACCAGATCAGCACAGTAGCAGAATCTTCCGAACTGACATTTTTCCTTTGAGTAAGGATGCTTTTATTTTCATCCTCTTAATCTTAAATAGCAAACAGACTGCTTTCTTACAGCCTATGTAGAACAACTTCCTTGGAGAACAAGTGGTATTTTGTTAACTGGGAAAATTTCCCAAGACTTAGTCTTTTCTTTGCATCTTTGAATTGTTAGCATCTCAAAATAGCTTCTAATTTCACTGGGCTTCTGTAAAAGCCATCAAAAACAGAGAGGTGAAGAATTATTGAGAAGGATGTGTGATGAATGGGGATGAAGAACGGGAATGTGGAAGTAGAGAGACATCACAGAGTTGTGGAAAGAGCACTGGGTGAATCCTGGGACTGGATCCCGGTCCAGTTCGCCACTACTTCTCTTGGAGAAATCTTTTAACCCCTTTAACCCCTCCAGGCCTAAGTTTTCTGTCAGTAAGATGAAGCAGTTGCCCTCCTAGATTAATCATTCAGTATGGAATACTGTCATCCCTTGGTGTCCATGGGGATTGGTTTTAGGACCTGCACCCACCCTCAGAATTCACGTCTCTGATATAAAATGGCCTAGTATTAGCATATAACTTATGCACATCCTCCTTTATATTTTAGATCATCTCTGGATGACTGTTAATACCTAATACCGTGCTTACACTTCACATCATTCGCCTGCCTTCAACGTAGTAATTGGCATGTGGCAGCAAATTCAACATTTGCTTTTTGGAACTTTGTGGATTTTTTTTTTTTGTTTTTCTGAATGTTTCCCATCTGTGATTGGTTGAATCCCATGGGTGCAGAACCCACAGATACGAAGAGCCAACTCTATAAGGTTTAGGAAAGTTATTCAAGGAATAAGCATAGGTGTTTTTATAGGACCTTAAAATTTGTTTTAATCATCTTTCAAGATAAGTTAACCAGAATATAACCCTAAATGAATGCATGAGAATAATTCAGAATATTTAGAGCTGAATTTGCCAAGTAAAAGAATGTGATCCTGATTTTTGTTGTCAACTCATTATGCAACTGTAGGCAAGTCATGTTCCTGGCTGGTCATGGGTTACTCTCTGCAGATGATTGCAGTAATACTAAACTCACCTAAGTGCTGAAAGGCTTAATTAAGGTCCATTAAGTCCTCAGAATTGTAAGGGAGGAGGGGGTGTTATTGAATCAAGTGGCTTACCTACCATATATGATGTTTGTATGTTACAAATACTCCCTTAGAAAAAAGTAGGGAAAAAAGGTAAAAGAATTCAGATTCTGAAGCCTGATTTATAAAATAATAGTTATATGTTTTATAATACTGTTTTTTACAATTAGAAGAGAAGAAGCTATGCCTTGGAATACTGCAGCATTCTCCTCTTTCCTTGCTTTCTAATATTTATTTTGGAGTTTCTCATAGTGTGTCTTTTATGTGCTATCTTAATTTTGTCAGAAATTATCTGTATTTGACAAATAAAAGGCAACTTATGCCCTGTTTTCTAGAATAGGTAGAAAATGTGTCGATAGTACCAAAAGATTTAGAGATGGTAGATATATTTTAGACATATGAGAGTCCTTATTAAGGGACTTCTAGACCCTTTACTTTGTATAGAAAGTCAATCAGAAACAGTATGATGTTTTTAAAAGATCATGGTACGAGTGTAAATTGGCATAACCACTCTGAAGAGCAATTTGACAGTGCTAAGTATGCACCTTAGAGCAGTAATTCTCAAAATGTGGTCCCTGGGCATTGCTTAAGAACTTGTTAGAAATGTACATTTTTCAGCCCTCACCGAGGCCTCCTGAAACAGAACTCTGGGAGTTGCATCCGATAATACACATTTTAACGAGTTCTCCAGGTGAAGCTAATGCTAGCTAAAGATGAGAACCGCTGGCCCAGAGAAGCTCTTGCCTTGTGCACTGAGAAGCACACACAAGGAAGCTCATTTCACTGAAGGGTTTGTGTGCAGTAACTCACTTGATCTTTCTAGCAGCCTTATGAGCTTGATTCTGTTATTTACTCCATTTTACTGATAAGGAATTATGCCCATAGTCACAGAGCTAGTAAGAGATGGAGTTGGCATTTGAACACATCTCTTAACTGCAGTGCAATCTTTAAAAGTAAGAATCTCAGAACAGACTGAAGCTCTTAGTATTTTTTTTTTTTTTTGAGACAGGGTCTCAACTGTGTCTTTCAGGCTGGAGTGTAGTGTCATGATCATGGCTCACTGCAACCCACTGCAGCCTCAACCACCTGGACTGAAGCTGTCTTCCTACCTCAACCTCCTGAGTATCTGGGACCACACATGTGCATCACTGTGCCTGGCTAGGTGTTTGTTTTTTTTGTTTTTGTTTTATAGAGATGGGGTCTCACTATGTTGCCCAGGCTGGTCTCATGATCCCCCTGCTTTGGCCTCCCAAAGTGCTGAGATTACAGATGTGAGCCACCACACCCAGTCACTCTTTGTATTTTAATGGATTTGCAGAAAGTCTCAGATGGAAGCTTCTACTCTGTATTGAGGAGAAAAATTCTTTCTGAGCGAAGCAGTTGCTAGTATTCTAGGCACTTTACATTTATTATTATAGTCAATCTTTGTGACGATTCTTTGATGCAAATCATTTGCCCAAACTCACATAGCTAGTAAGTACCTGGACTTGAGCCCATACCTATCTCTAAAACCCGTTCTTTTTCTACTGTAGCTAGTTTTCTTTCATTTTTCCTTAGTCAAGTTCAAAATCGATGTATCTAGAAAGTGCGAAATAGAGCATGAACTTCCTATGTTAGATATGGTCCAAGATTACAGATGAGGTCTAAATAAAGAGGTAAAATGCCTCTGTCGACTAAAAAATTAAGTGACGACAGTGAGATTATAAAATTTAAAAATATTAAAGTTTCCAAAGGACTTTTGCTCTTTTTCTAAACCTATGCTGCATTTCCTCATTTAAGAAGAATATTTGTTTTCTTTGGCATTTTGATCCTTTCCTGTGTCATGATTTCTTTGACCTTGGCATAAAACAAGGAGATTCTGGGATTACTTATTAGAGGAACAATTTTGTGTCACCTGAACCAGTATTCCAAGATCTTCAGTGGGAAGAGAGTTTGAGATAGTTCCAGTGCATTTGTAACCCATGCTTGAGCAATACTCCACTTCTGGAATTTTTCTTCCCAATGTTCTGCTTCTTTCAGGTGAAAATTATCTCAGTGAACGAGGATGTCACTCTTAGATCAGCCCTCGATAGAAATCTGAAGAGTGCTGTGACCGCTGCTTTCCTCATGCTCCCCGAAAGCTTTTCTGAAGAAGACCTCTTCATAGAGATTGCCGGTCTCTCCTATTCAGGTTAGTATGGTTGCTGCCCAGATGTTCTACAAGGGAGAGATTTATATTTGAAGACTGCGGATATCCTGTTCTCACTCGGCCCTGGAGCTGCTACAGTCTTAGTTGTAAATCACGTCACTCTTGAGTGGTTCCTGCACTAACCTCGTGATTTGCCTCCCTACCTCCTGGGTCCCCTCTCCACATCTCCATGCTTATTGTCCCAGGGTAATTTTGTTGTTTTTGTTAATTTTTATTTTGAAGTAATTTCAAACTTACAGAAAAGTTTCAAGAATAATACAGAAAACTCCCTATGCCCTTTTCCCAGATTCGCCAATTTTAACATTGCACCATATTTGTTTTCTCATTGTTTCTGTATCAGTGGTTTTCAAACTTTAGCCTGTGTCTGAACAACTAGGAAGTCTCAGGTTAAAACACAGACTCGTGGGCCCTACCCCAGACAGTTGATTTAATAGGTTTGAGGTAGGGCCCAATAATTTTTATTTTTAGAAACAAGTTCCCAAGTGATGCTGATGCCCCTCCAGGGATCCCACTTTGAGAACCACTGTTTTCTCTGTATGTGTAAACATACTATATATATATTTATTTTCTAAACTGTTTGAGGGTAGGTCACACATATTATGTCCCAAACTGAGACAACTGAGAGGGTAGAGCCCCTGGCCACTCACCCTCGCTGCAACCAGAGGAGCCCCCATCTATCTTTTTACTATAGTAAGGTTCCGTTTAAGATTTCATTTACAAAACAAGTGCTCTGCCGCTTTTTAAAAAGTTTGAAAACCACCATCTTAAAAAAAATCATCTTTCCCGATTTTTGAGTATGAGTCAAAGAACTTTATGCTCAGAACATTGGAAAAGCAGTTTACTTAGCCTCCAAATCCCAGTACAGACAGGTAAGATTTCATGGAAATTTAATGCTGTAAGAGACCTTAGAGGTTTTGTTCTTCCATCTTCCCAAAATTCATCTACCATGACTACGGCTGTATTTGCAACACTGTAGAGAAAGGCGTTGAAGCAACCTTGGTCTCTGGGTGCTTCCAGCTTCACCTGGCAGCCTCCCTGCCTTCCAACAAAAGACATAGGGGCAAAGAGTGGCGTGGCCCTGTGCTGGAATGAGCAGGTCACATGCACACTGTGTGAGCAAAGGAAGTCACTTTATTAGAGTGATTACCTTTCCATACTCCCCTGTGAAAAATGATGGAACGGAAGCCTTTTATGAAAGCTGACTTGGTGGGAGAAGATGCAGGACTGATCTCTACTCTGCCCCTACCACTACCAGTCCTCCATTTCTTCCCTTCTAGTCAACATCTTCGTAGCATTGGATGGATTCTGGGAGTTCCTTCTAAATTCTGAATATTACTAAGGAAATTTACCAAATGACATAGCTGCTTTCACCTCTTTGAAGACTTTTAATTTAGCCTTCAAGCTGCTACCAAGTTTAGCTGATTTTTGCTGGAACAAGAAGAGAGTAATGAAGGTAGAAAATGACATAGGCTCTGTAGGTAGATCTCTTTCATAGGTATGAGACCTACCCCAGGCAAAGTGTTGAAAGGCACATTTTCCTCCTGACTTTTGTAGGCTTCTGAGAACCCAGTGTTGTAGAATTGATTGGTTTCTATCCCTTGGCAAACCACCCAAATCTCCGAAGCCCTGAGAATATGCCAAAATTCATATTGTCTACTAATCTCATTTTTATTTATAACTTTGCATTGTCCATCTTTTTCCAGTTGTGAGATTATATATGGTCCCTAATCTGTGAAGTTCAGTATTTTTCCTGGGAGTGGGCAGGAGAAGGAACAGAAAAACCATGTCTGTCCATGTTGTTGGACAAGTTCCTGCCAGTAATTACTTAGGCAGAGGCGAGATTGGTATTATTTGTAGCAATAACAATCCTTTACATTTTATATAGTATTTTAGGATTACTTTGACTGCCCTGAGGTCAGTATTATTATAAATTATGGGTGAGAAGAGAGTAGGTGGAGGATGAGAGGCTGCAAACTGGGAAGGAGAAAGCTTTATCTTTTTTTATTTTTTATTTTTATTATTTTTCCTCCACCCCCCTCCTTTTTTTTTTTTTTTTTTTCCTCTTTTCTGTTTTAAGACAGCTTTCTAACCCAGCCAGCTGTGGTGGCCCTGTAATCCCAGCAATTTGAGAGGCCAAGGCAGGCAGATCACTTGAGGTCAGGAGTTCAAGACCAGCCTGGCCAACATGGCAAAACTCCATCTCTACTAAAATACAAAAATTAGTCAGGCGTGGTGGTGCATGCCTGTAATCCCAGCTACTTGCGAGGTTGAGGCAGGAGAATCACTTGAACCGGCGAGGTGGAGGTTGCAGTGAGCCAAGATCATGCCAGTGCACTCCAGCCTGGATGACACAGTGAGACTGTCTTGTGTCTCAAAAAAAAAAAAAGAAAAGAAAAGAAAGAAAGAAAGCTTTCTAACTCTAGTTTTTCTTAGAAGTCAGCATTTAAATGAACAGGAAAGGAGCACCAAATGCATTTTAAAGAGTCACCTTGAACTTTGTTATGTCAGTACAACTATTAAAATGACTAATTTTAGGCAATGGTCCTTGGTTTAATATTTATCAAGCAAATTAGCATTCCATACCCTGAAGAACTGCAGATGGAATTTCTGCTCTAAGGAGCTTCACATTAATAACATGCAGTCACAGTGAGTCAGTGGTAGACTTGAAAAACAACACGTGTGAAAAAGGCAAGAAGGATGTGAAAGAACATGATGTGTTTAGGAGGAAAGCAGTAGACTGATGTGACTGAAGTCTGTGGCTTAATGGCAGGGAAAATAGCCTTTATTATTGGGTGCCAAGGACTACTCTCAATACTTTAAATTTGGTAACTAGTTTAATCCTCACATTAACCTTTTGATTTGGGTGCTGTATCATTGCCCCATTTTACAGATGAGAAAACTGAGGCCCAGAATGGTTCCCTGTCTAAGGTCACTCATCTGGTACATGGTGGACTAGTTTGAATACCAGCTTTCTAAAGGTATCTTGAACCTTTCTTTTTTGTTTTATTTGTTTTTCATTATTTTATTTCCTGAAACACAAGCTTGAACCTTTCTGAGCCCCCAGTTTTCTTATTTGTAAAACAAATAACTATCTCACAAAGAAATTATCAATGAGATAATACGTATAATAGCTTCCAACATCTTTTTTTTTTTTTTTTTTTTTTTGAGAGACAAGGTCTCACTCTGTCGCCCAAGCTAGAGTGCAGTGGTGAGATCATAGCTCACTGCAGCCTCGACCTCCCGGGCCCAAGCAACCCTCCCACCTCAGACTCCCAAGTAGCTGGGACCACAGGCACACGCCACCACGGCTGGCTAATTTCGTTTGTGTAGCGACAGGGGCTCGCTGTGTGCTTCTGCTGGTCTCGAATTCCTGAGCTCAAACGATCCTCCCGCCTCGGCCTCCCCGAGTGCTGGGATTATAGGTGTGGGCCACTGCGCCTGGCTGCCTCCAGCATCTTATCTCATTAATAGTCAGTGTTCAGAAAATGATTGCTGTTATTATTATTTTTATGTATTATTGTTGGTCAGATGGGTTTTCCTCAGGTTGAGAAACTGTTATTTGCTCAATCATCCAGTGATTGATGGACACTTATATTAGCTCCATTTCTCACTGTTTTATTAGCAACACTGCTGTGAATCACTTTGTACAGATTACTTTCGTTGGGAAAGGGGCAAAGGAGGCACTGACTTCCTTGGATGTGTTCTCCAAAGTGGAATTATGTTGTCAGCTATAAAAATTATAAAACTTGTTACATATTGACAAACAATGCCTGTCAAAATTTGCAGGGTGCTGTGGCTCACACCTGTAATCCCAACTTCCAGGCTGCAGTGAACTATGATCACACCACTGCACTCCAGCCTGGGCAACAGAGCCAGACCCTGTTTCTTAAATTAAAAAAAAAAAAAATTAGCTGAGTACTTAGATCAGATGGATTGAAACATGACAGCCCCATTTCATCTGGCCGGTTAAGGTCCTCATGGAATGAAAAACACTTTCGGGCACTCTCCTATGAGAGAGAGAATGGGTTTCTTTAATTGCCAGATTGTCTGAACACAGCCTCAGCTACTTCTAGGAATAAGACGAAGCAGTGAGGAAGTTGCCAGTTGAGTGATTCTTGGGGAAAAAAATTAGCATTCAGTGCCAGCTCTCTAAAGTGTGGATTCTGGATTCTGGTAGAAGCCAGTAAAGAAACGTTTTCTCTGGAGTGGAAGCTAGTAAGATTTATTCTGTGGTGATGAAGCCATCTGAAACCTTACAAGCAGTGTGGTTGTATCAGCATATGGGAGCTGACTGCCTCAGGACTTTGGAAGCCTGCTTCTCTGTGCCTCAGCCGGAACTCAGGTTACTCAGTAGTCATTTGCTAATTTCTGAGAACGCAGCACTCCTGAAGGGATAGAAAGCATGAACAATACCCAAACTTTTTAGACTAGTACTGTGTGTCAGGTATTGTAACATTCATTCAGTCCCTGAAATGTACAAACTAGTTATTGCTCCCCTTTTTCATTTGAGGATACTGATGCCCAGATAAGTTAAGTGGCTTGCCCTGGGTCACATAGCTTGTAAATGCCGAGCTAGCATTTGAACCCAGGCAGTCTTCTTCCTGGAATGCTTGCTCTTAACACTTCACTGTTCTATGAAAGGTCTTTGGTGGTGGGCGTCACTCCTGGTTCACACTTAGGTCACTCCTTCCCCAGGACCCACTGGGTCACACCTCCCCTCCCCACACCCACCCCAGTGGGCCTCAGTTCTGGCTTATCATGGAGGCCTTCCCTGACTGCTACTGCAACTCCACCACTCCCTATGTCTTTCCCTGTTTGTGTTTTCCCCATAGCACTTTCCACAGTCGGCTACACTGTATCTTATTGTTGGTTGGCTGGCTGATCTTTGGTCTTTGTTCCACCACTGAGGATGTGGAGGGAAGGAATTGTTGTCTTGTTTTGCTCCTTCTGTTTGGATGCTTCCAATAGTATGTGACATGTACTAGGTGCTCAGTAAATATTTGATGAGTGGATTATACTGCTTCCTTCCTGAACCAATATAGTGAACCTGAGTCCTCCCTATTACTTCCTACTTTTGTATTTTCTAATGTATACAAAAGGAAGGCCAGGCATGGTGGCTTACGCCTGTAATCCCAGCACTTTGGGAGGTGGAGGCGGATGGATCACTCAAGGTCAGGAGTTCGAGACCAACCTGGCCAACATGATGAAACCCCATCTCTACTAAAAATACAGAAATTAGCCGGGCGGGCGAAGGTTGCAGTGAGCTGAGATGGTGCCACTGCACTCCAGCCTGACAACAGAGCGAGACTTTGTCACAAAAAAAAAAAAAAAAAAAAAATTAGCCAGGCATGGTGGCACACACCTGTAGTCCCAGCTACTAGGGAGGCTGAGGCAGGAGAATAGCTTGAACCCAGGAAGCAGAGGTTGCAGTGAGCTGAGATCATGCCACTGCACTCTAGCCTGGGTGACAGAGTGAGACTCTGTCTAAAAAAAAAATATTTACAAATCATGCATCTGATAAGGGACTAGTATCCAGAATATATAAAGAATTTTTAAAATACAATGGATAGGCCGGGCGCAGTGGCTCACGCCTGTAATCCCAACACTTTGGGAGGCCAAGGCTGGTAGATCACTTGAGGTCAGGGGTTCCAGACCAGTCTGGCCAACATGGTGAAACCCTGTCTCTATTGAAAATACAAAAAATTAGTTGGATGTGGTGGTGTGCACCTGTAATCCCAGTTACTTGGGAAGCTGAGGCAGGAGACTAGCTTGACCCCAGGATTCGGAGGTTGCAGTGAGCCGAGATCATGCCACTGCACTCCAGCCTGGCGACCGAGTAAGACTCTGTCTCAAAAAAAAAAAAAAAGCCGGGCATGGTGGTACACACCTGACCTGTAGTCCCAGCTACTAGGGAGGCTGAGGCAGGAGAACAGCTTGAACCCAGGAAGCAGAGGTTGCAGTGAGCTGAGATCATGCCACTGCACTCTAGCCTGGGTGACAGAGTGAGACTCTGTCTAAAAAAAAAAAAAAAAAAAGTAAAAAGGCAGCTAACAAAATGGAAGAAAATGTTTACAAATCATGCATCTGATAAGGGACTAGTATCCAGAATATATAAAGAATTTTTAAAACACAATGGAAAGGCCGGGCGCAGTGGCTCACGCCTGTAATCCCAACACTTTGGGAGGCCAAGGCTGGTGGATCACTTGAGGTCAGGGGTTCAAGACCAGTCTGGCCAACATGGTGAAACCCTGTCTCTACTGAAAATACAAAAAATTAGTTGGACGTGGTGGTGTGCACCTGTAATCCCAGTTACTTGGGAAGCTGAGGCAGGAGAATAGCTTGACCCCAGGAGGCGGAGGTTGCAGTGAGCCAAGATCATGCCACTGCACTCCAGCCTGGGCAACAGAGCAGGACTCTGTCTCAAAAAAAAAAAAAAAAAAACAACAACAACAACAAAACAATGAAAAGACAATCCAGTTTAAAAACAAGAGAAGGATTTGAATAGCCATTTCTTCAGAAAAGGTATTCAAATGGCCAGTAAGCACATGAAAAGTTGTTAAACATCATAGGTATTAGGGAAATGGAAACATCAATACAAATCACAGAGACGCCATTCTATACCTGCTACAATGGCTGTGATAAAAAAGAAAGGCAAGAACAAGTGTTGAGAATGTGGAGAAATTGGGACCCTCATACATTGCTGATTAGATTGTAAAGTGGTACAGCTGCTTTGGAAAAAAGCCTGGCAGTTCCTCCAAATGTTAAACATAGCTACCATATGACCCAGCAGTTCTACTCCTATATATCTACCTATGAGAAATGAAACATATGTCCACACAAAAACTTGTACGTAGCAGCATTATTCATAATGAATCGCCCAAAAGTGGAAACAGCACAAATGTTCATCAACTGAGAAATGGATAAATAAAATTGGTGCATCTGTACGATGGACTATTATTTAACCATAAGCAGGAGTGAAGTACTGATAAATGCTACAGTGTGATGACCCTTGAAAACATTTTGCTAAGGTCGTAAAAATAACTCCAGATAGTGTATAATTCAATGTGTATAAAATGTCCAGAATAGGCAAATCTGTGGCAAGAAAGTAGATTAGATCCAACCTGGATCTCCATTGTCTAGCACAGCTCCTGGTACTTTGTAGCCAGCCAAATATTCACTGAACCAAAATGACAGCAATGTTTAAATTCAGGCTGGGGATGGGGAATGAAGGGAGTTGGGGAGTGATCACTTAGGAGTATGGGGTTTCTTGTAGGGAGGCTGGAATATTCTAGTATTAGATTGGAGAGATGATTGTACAACTCTGTAAACAGAATTAAAAATACTGAATTATTTACTTTAAATGGATGAATTACATGGTATGTGAATTATATCTGAAAAACAGTCATGAAAATGAATATTATTTTGCCATATCAATATCCAGTTTGGGCTGCAGTCCTTAAACACTACCACATAAAAAACTGCACTGAAATGATCTTTTTTTCATACTGTTTGCTGCCTGAGGTAGAGCCTATATCTGGACAGGCTGAGTATCCCTTATCTGAAATACTTGGGGCCAGAAGTATTTTAGATTTTGGAATTTTTCAGATTTTGGTATGTTTGCACATATATAATGAGATATCCTGGGGACGGCCCAGGTCTAAACACGAAGTTCATTTATGTTTCATATACACCTCATACACATCGCCTGAAAGTGATTTTATATGATATTTTTAATAATATGTGCGACTCACTGCATGAGGTCAGGTGTGGAATTTTCCACTTGTGGTGTCCTGCCAGTGCTCAAAAGGTTTCCAGGTTTGGGGGTATTTTGCATTTTCGGTGTTCAGATTAGGGTTGCCCAACCTGGATCTCCATTGCCTAGCACAGCTCCTGGTACTTTGTAGCCACTCAGATATTCACTGAACTGAAATGACAGCAGTCTTGCAATTCGTTTAAAGGGAGAAAAGTTAGCCGGTAATTATTATCTCCAAGACCCAGCGCTTCCTCTACCCTCCATCCTTCGACTATGCTATATACATATCATAAGTAGTATCTGCTTTACTACTTACAAAGCATTCTCTAATACCTTAACTCTGGGTTCCCCAACCCTTGGGAACCCTGTTAGGAACCAGGACGCACAGCGGGAGGTGAGTGGTGGGCGAGCTTCATTTGTATTGACAGCCAATCTCCATCACTTGCATTACTGCCTGAGCTCCGCCTCCTGTCAGATCAGCAGCTGCGTTGGATTCTTATAGGAGCGCAATACCTATTTGAACTGCATATATGAGGAATCTAGGTTGCAGGCTTTTTATGAGAATCAAATGCCTGATCTGTCACTGTCTCCCATCACCCCCAGAGGGACTGTCTAGTTGCAGGAAAATAATCTCAGGACTCCCACTGATTCTACATTATGGTGAGTTGTATAATTCTTTCATTATATATTACAATGTAATAATAACAAATGAAGTGCACAATAAATGTAATGTGCTTGAATCATCCTGAAACCACTGTCCCCTGGACCCACATCCATGGAAAAATTGTCTTCCACAAAACCTCTTCCTGGTGCCAGAAAGTTTGGGGACTGCTGCCCTAACTCCTTAAATCTGAAAGCAACTTTGTAAGGTTAGTGTGATTAAGCCATTTTACAGTGAAGGACTCAGAAGGTTTAAGTAACTTGACCTCAGTCACCCTGGGACATTGCCAGACTTGAAAGCCAGGGCCTTGCCGCTGTACTGTGCAGCCCTTCACATCTGCATACTTGTAATGAGGTCCCTGACTGCTGGCTGCATGCCTGAATCACAGGGAAGGCCACCTACAGGTGGCTTGCAGGCCTTGGAGTTTGTATCATTTCAAGGTCAAGGAGAAATCCTTTTGGATGCCTATTGTACTGGCAGTTCTAGAGGCATAAAATAAAGTCAGCAGTCAGTTTTAATCCATTGCTGTAGTTTTGTTGAAAACAAATCTCCCAAGGTAAGAAAAATTGATTGTTATGATCAGATGCTGGTTCGTGCTGTGCCCATGATGTTATTCATTTTGTTCTGAAGAAATGAGTCATAAGCCCATTTGCTTCCTATCCCCTGCGGTTGAGCTAGTTCAGCTGCACACCAGTGAGAGAAATTCAGTTCTGCACACATTTATTGATGTATGTGTTCCCTGTGCCAGGCAGTGCACAAGGAGCTAAGGATGCAGACATAAATAAGCCCCGGTCCTTGTTCTCCGAGAGCCTGGAGTGTTTTCTAGGTCCTTTAATCATGGCATGCAATTGTTCTTTTAGGGGGAAGATTTGGATTGTAAAACATAATCCTTGATATTTTAAAATGGTAAATCCTTCTCTCAGAAAGTGACTGTCTAAAATTGAGGAACTTTTTGTTTGTGGAATGTACAGAAAGAAGGAATGACACAAATATTTAGAATTCAACAGTTTTAGAAACTGATCTTTCACTTCAGGGCCAGCCTTGTTAGAGTCAGAATTTGATGACATTTCATCTCTTCAAAGATTAATGGAATCCATTTTTATACGTGTAAGGATTTACACAGTTGGAAGTTAACTCAGCCACCACTCCATTCACATTTGTCACGTCATCATCTGTGTATCCCATAAATGTGTTTTAAAATGCTAGAAAGTAATATGCCAGCATTATAGAAGTGAGGGAAATGGGGGGAAATTATAGAGTAAAATCATCACCTAAAATTTCACTACCCTAATACCGAGAGGCAGTTGGACCTGGGGCATGTTGTCTTTGCACGTCCATCTCCTCATCTGTAAAATTAAGAATAATAGTACTTATTTTATGGAGCTTTGCCATGACCAAATGAGATAGCAAATTAAAGCACACATGCAAAAACCCACAATAAATGTATTTTATTAGAGCAAAAATAAGCATTTTTATATAGTCTCTTTGTCTTGTTTTTCTCATTTTTTATGAAGTTTTTTTTGTTTTGGTATGCTTAAAAAAAAAATTACATAGAGACAGAGTCTCGCTATGTTGCCCAGGCTGGTCTCGAACTCCTGAGCTCAAACATTCCCCCGGCCTTGGCCTCACAAAGTGCTAGGACTATAGATGTGAGCCACCATGCCCAGCCTGTTATACTTTTGTATCTCTTTGTTTCTTACTGCATATTAAATGATCACTTTCCATCTTGTTGTGTGTGATTACTGTCTGTGATAGTAACCATATGCCATCATAGTGCATTCTTTCCCCTGTTGTTGGACATTTGGGATGCTTTCAGTATTATAAGTAGTGCTTCAGTGAGCAATTTTATATATGTAGTATATTTTTACTTCCTGGAAACCTTACGCAAGTTTCTTAATCACTGTCTTTGTTCCCTTGTGTATGAATGGGGATAGAATCCTATCTACCTGAGAGGAGAGCTGTGTGTATTAAATGAAGCAATACCACAACACACTTGGCACAGTGGCTGGTATTTACCAGATGCTCGGTAAACGTTACCTGTGTGTTTCTGTCTTACTCTGTGTTTCTGGCTTATTTCTTTAAGCTTGCTCCAGAGATGGGGTTTCTTGCTTCAGTGCTTTCCAGAAGAATTTTAGCAGTTTATGCAGTCAACAGCAATATGTGAAAGGACTGATTTCTCAACCTCCTCATTAGCAGTGATCCCAGGTTTTAACTATCTAACTCTCTTTCCCTTCAAAATAATAGTGACAAAAACAAGTTCATCCATATTTGAGCAGATTTTTAGGACTGGGACTCGCTTCTGCTCACTCACCTGAACAGTCAGACCCCCTGTACACCAAGATCGGGTTCCAGAGGCTCTTTAGAAGTCTTTTTTTTTTTTTTTTGAGATGGAGTCTTGCTTCATCACCCAGGCTGGAGTGCAGTGGCGCGATCTCGGCTCACTGCAAGCTCTGCCTCCTGGGTTCACGCCATTCTCCTGCGGCCCCCCCCCAAGTAGCTGGGACTACAGGCGCCTGCCACCACGTCTGGCTAATTTTTTTGTATTTTTTAGTAGAGACGGGATTTCACTGTGTTAGCCAGGATGGTCTGGATCTCCTGACCTCGTGATCCGCCTGCCTCGGCTTCCCAAAGTGCTGGGATTACAGGTGTGAGCCACCGCGCCCAGCCTGGAAGTCTGTTTTTCTAAGCTTGCAGTCCCCAGTTGCATTCCACCAAATTGTAGTGTAAGTTGGTCCTTTGAAGCTTAAAACCTAGCATATTTTATTCCTTACTCAATGAAGTACATATTGTTGGTCTTCCTTGTATTTTTACTTTTTCTAAAACAAGCCAACAGTTTGCACTAGGAAAATCCATTGTGGCAAATAATGACCTCTATGATCCCTTCCCCTCTCCAGAAAAAAGAAATTGGCGAGGGTAACCATATGTCCTGGTTTGCTCAGTTTATACTTGTCGTAGTGTGATTATTTATAGCGATCCCTTCACCCTCAGAAGTGACCTAGTTTGGATGATAAATTATATTGTCATCCTAGCCCCAGGGGATTCCTCAGCAGCTGGGTTATCTGCCTACACTTGCCACCTCTCTACTCCCCCTGACAATTTGCTCCCTCTCCAACAAAGGATTCAGCCACATTGCTTTCACCACGCTTGACTCAGAAGGTTCTGCGTGTGTCCAGCCTCTTGTGATTTCACATTAGCCCAGTAGGCATGCACTTAAGTGTGTCCACTTTCCCATTCCTTTCTCCTCCATCTTGCCGATGGTTGTCAGTGGCATTGGCAGGGCACTTTTCATTTGATTCAGAAATGCTTTTGTCTTTCAGAATTAGGTGTTTTTCAGCTCAATTCATCCCATAGGCAAATGTAACATTCCTCATTTCTCATCACTTGCAATTTAAAAAGTTATATCTGTTTTCAATTTCATCTTAAATGCAAACCTCCTCTTACAGAACTTTTAAGCCTTATTTTGCCTTTGTAAAATATGATAAGATTATATTCATCAAGTGCCTCAAAAGCCCTCATAAACAGACAGGTCAACGATGAGGAAGCAATGGCAAGGACAAGTCTACAGTGATGGTGCACAGCTCCTATCTCCTTCATTGGCCACAGGCAGAATTTGGCCCATAAGACAAGACTTTGTAGGTACAGAAGCTTCTGCATTGGAAAAGCTAAAACAAGTTAGCTACTCGCTTGTGATTACCTTGTGTAACTAGGTAACTATAATTTAACTGGCATAAAGGGCTTTGTGATTTGAGAGACCCTCTTTTCCTCCAAACAAGTGCTCACATTTCTTGGGGTAAAGTGTCCAGGTTTTGAGGAGGAAAAGCAAGTGTTCTGATGAGGGATCCTGCCAGAGTGAACCCGTGCGGTATCAGTGTGGGGAGCGTCGTTCATAGGTCGAGAGTGTGGATTCTTAATGGAAGATGTGTTTATCTCTTTGTTTTAACTAGGTGACTTTCGGATGGTGGTTGGAGAAGATAAAACAAAAGTGTTGAATATTGTGAAGCCCAATATAGCCCACTTTCGAGAGCTCTATGGCAGCATACTACAGGAAAATCCTCAAGTGGTGTATAAAAGCCAGCAAGGCTGGCTGGAGGTAACTGTATGTGGAAAATAGCTTGTATTGTTTCTAAGACAAAGGCTATTTGCAGGAAGAAAGTCAGGGGTAGAACAGCATGACTGGTGTGAGAACATTTATAGTTTAAAAAGTAAGTACTGTATGTAAACATAGGCTTCTGTGTATCTGGAATAATGCTAAAAGGTAACAGACTAGTAATAAGAGGCTGCCTTTGGAGAAGGGAACTAGGGGCAGAAGTGGGAGAGGGACTTGTTTTGACCATGTATATCTTTTTTGCCATTGGAAATTATTACCATGTCTATCAATTACCAATCAAAACAAGTGAAAATAAACTTTTAGATCACTCTCATTCCATCCCCAGACCCATTTAGCTCCCCAGAGGTAACTGTACTGACAGTTTGGTGTCTGGTTGTTGTTGTTTTTTTTTCTTTTTTTGGGGGGACAGGGTCTGACTCTGTTCCCAGGCTAGAGTGCAGTGGCACGATCTCGGCTTACTGCAGCCTCAACACCCCCCAGCCTGGGATCAAGCCATCCTCCCACCTCAGCCTCCTGAGTAGCTGGGACTACAGGTGCATGCCACCACACCTGGCCAATTTTTGTATTTTTTTTGTAGAGACAGGGTTTTGCCATGTTGCACAGGCTGGTCTCAAACTCTTGAGCTCAAGCAGTCTGCCCGCCCCAGCGTCCAAAAGTACTGGGATTATAGGGATGAGCCACTGCACCCAGCCTGCTGTCTGTTCTTCCAGATCTTTTCACGTGTACTTTTGTATATGTTTGTATGCATATAGGAAGAGGTTTGGTTTTGTTATACATTAATGGGCTCATACATATTCAAAATTCTCTTCTTTCCCCACTTGTTTTGTTTATTATGTCTGGGAATTTTTCTTTTTGATATATCAAATAAAACTTTCTTATCAAGGTATTGTTTCAATTAATATTAAGTGTTTGTTTGAAAATAAAAACCAGGCCGGGCCAAAGGTTTTTTTTTTTTTCCTTTAATGTAAAGAACACTGTATTTTTCTTCATTTATGCTCTTCTCCATCCACATAGTAGGGGCAACTAACATTGTAATGAGTAATAGATTAATGGAATTTCTAGAGCTAAAAAGGGAATTTAAAAAAATAGGAATTATTTTAAAACAAGAAAAGAATAGAGAGTGACATATGAAATGCGAGAATACCCACCACTCAGTTTAACAGATTTTGCCACATTTGGTTCAGGTTGAGGTTTTTTGTTTTATGCATGTACATGATTTAAAAGCCAAATGATACCTCAAGTTTATAACAAAAAGAGCAGTTCCGTGCTGCATACGTTCCCACATTCTCAGCCCTGCTTACCAGAGGCAGCTGCTTTCGTCTCTATAGCTGATTCTTCTGATATTCACCTCCATGTTCTAAATAATATGCTTCGACTATTATTTCTTGATTTTTTTTCAATCTTACACTTTATTTTTGCCATCCTGGAAGAAGGGGATTTTTTTTACCGTCTTACACTACCCCATCAATTCTTATACCAATTACACACTCACACACATGCACTTAGCACACACATTCTCTTCCCCTTCTACCTCACGCCCTCATGCTTCACATAAAGTTACTTCATATTTTTTGTTAGCTTAATATTCAATGTTTATTTTATTGTGACAGCCTTTTCTTTATTGATGAGCTGTGGCATTATGAAGTTCCTTTTCCTGTACAACTTTGTTTCTCCTGGAGTTAATAGTTGTCTTATTTTTTCAGTTGCTTAGGTCAGTCATCCTCAAACTCTTGACAGATCCGTAAAACTCTTCCCATTATAGACAGATTTATTGGGTATTTTCTGTTTCTTGTTTCTCACAGGAATGTTTTTCCTGGAGCCCCCTGCCCTGTTCCTTTCTCAACTGGTTGTTTTCTAGCTCACTGCACAGCCGCACTCCTCCACCTTCCCTTCATTATCACCCTGA